>NC_000010.11:86809761-86961277 GCF_000001405.40 Homo sapiens | reverse complement strand
ACGAGAAAGGGGAACTAGGAGAGGGAGCGGCTGCCAGCTCCAAGGACATGGAGACCCTGTGCTGGCCCTGGAAGCAGACACCTGGGCATCGCCCCAGAGCCAAGAGGAGTAGGGCAGCCCCCACCCTTCCACCCACCCACTCCTAACGCAGGGATTCTCAGTGCTCAGAGCCTCAGACTCCACCACCTAGGAGGCCTGGAGCAGGTAGGAGAGCTGGACACTGCTCCCCCGCCCCACCCCCAGGTAGGAATCCTAGCCCAGGCCACCACTTACACTGCCACAGGGTCTCTCAGAGTACAGGCTGCTCAGGGGAATTCCAAGCTCACATGAACTAGCCATGGGACCTTGGGCACATTAATCTCTCTGGGCCTTAGTTTCCACACCGTCTCATGGATTTTGTGTCTATTAAATGAACTAATAAGCGTACAATGCGTAAAGCAGAGCTTGCTGTGTCACAGGTGCTGGGACAGCTCACCCAGCCAACACCCGTCCCTGGGGTGCGCCCCACTGCTCCTGTGCTGTCTGCTATTGGGCCGCACACGCATGTGTACATTCACACGCATGTACACCCACACATTCTCACAAATGCACCCACATGCTCACTCAACACACGTGCACACACACACAAAGGCAGCTGCAGAGGGTAGGGTCAGAAGCAGCACTGCTTTCTTACCACTAGGGGACGCTACTTCCCTGAGGCTCCCAGCAGGAGGCAGCTGCCCCGCCCAGCCCAGGGAGGGAGGCTAGGCCCTGGGGGCGGGGCTGGTGCTACTCAGCCCCCGGCCTGGTGACCACTGCCCGGGAGGCTGCCTGTCACCGTGTGGGATCCTGTTTTCACTTATAAAATGGGGTGTCTCCTAAGTGCTGAGAGCCGTCCGGAAGATGTGGTTTTGAGCCTCACTTTCCTTGTCTATGAGATGGGCTCCCAAGTCCCCCGAAGGGGTGGTTGTGGTGATTCCAGACCCGAATGCAGGTCGAACAGCAAGCATGGACCCCACCCCATGCCGGCGCTCAGTGGGTACTGAAACTGAAGCCAGCCGCAGCCCCCCGTGTTGTTTCCTGGGGTGTGGAGTGGAGTGATGCCGCCTCCGCCCAGCAGCCTTTCTGGGCCCAGGAGAGGACTGGGCAGGTCTGAGGGCCGGGGCTCACCTTGCGCACCACCCCGGAGGTGACCGCGATGTTCTCCGCCTCCTCCACGGTCTTGGTGGCCACAGTGTTGACGCTGCTCACCACAGCCTCGCTCACGGCGTTGGCCTGCTCCTTGGTCTTCTCGGCCACTATGGGAGGACACTGGCTGGCCTCCACCCCAGCCCCAGCCCCAAGGCAGGCCTGCTGGAGTCAGGCTCGCAGCCCCTTCCCAGGAGCTCAGAGCCCTGGCCCTGCTGGGACCCTCCCCTGCTCCCTCTGACTCCAGGGCACCTCTGATGCTGGTGGGGGTAAGGAGACGCCCACCCTAGTTTAGCCTCATGGTCTGCAGGGGTCTGTAGGGCTTGGGACCCCAGTTGGGGGTAAGGCAGGACTCTAGGTTTGAGCCCCAGCACTAGGATGCAGGAGCCCCAGGGGTCCTATCCCCCATGTGTCCCCTGGCCCTGGGGCTTCTCACCTGAGGTCACGCTCTGTACAACATTCTCCTTGGTCTTGGCTCCTGGGGAGGAAATGGAGCTGTCAGCCCAGACCTCCCTCGAGGTGTTGGGGGCGGTCAGGACAAACACAACAGAACAGCTGGACAAACTGTGGGGTCGGTGGGGGGGTAAGGATGGTGTCTGGGGGCCGGCGGCCCCTTCAGAGGGCCTCTTCCTGCTGTGTCTGGAAGAAGTGGATGGATGGGAAGGGGACAGGACAGAATGTGGGGGACAAGAGAGAGCAGGCCTGAGGTAGGGACACTGGCTAGACCCAGGGTCCAGCCCCTGCCCGGGTGTGGCCGGGCCTCAGAAGCAGCAACAGGACAGGATGGGCCAGAGCTGAGTCATTGGCTTGACCTCCCCTTCCTCCTCTGGAGAGTGCCAGGAGAGGATGCGGGGGAGGGAACACTGAGCCTAGGTTTCATCCCCCAGCCTGCCCCTTCTCTCTGGGGAGGGAGGGGATCCGTGACCTGGCTGTAGCCGCTCCCGTGTGGAGAGGGTGGGGGCCACCTGAGCACAGGCTGCTCATGGCTTCAGGGGCTCCAGGCTCAGGGGAGGCTGGTATGCTTGGGAATGTGTGTGTGCGTGCACAGACAGGTAGCCAGCCCTGTCTGCGGTCTCTGACACCCAGAGGCCCCGAGGAGGCCAAAGACAAACACACATAGGTGTGCACAGGGCATTGTGGGTGCTCCAGGGTCTGGAGACCCCACCTTGATAGCCAGGGCCTCGCCCCCTCCCAAAATGCCTCCCTGGGGCTGGGGAGTAAGGTCTGGCGAAGGTAACTGGGCACTCACCCTTTGGCCACCACACTGTCCCACCCTGCCATGCCCCACTTACCCACATACATGACCCCCTCCTTGGTCTTCTCAGCTGCTTCCGTCACCCCCTGCTTGGTCTTTTCCACCGCACCCACCACGCCCTCCTTGGCGATGGAGAAGCCCTTCTTGAAGACATCCATGGTGGGTGTGCAGGGTTGTGCTGCTGCAGGCAGGACGGAGCTGGATCTCCCTGCGAGCTGCGGGCTTGAGCTGGCTCGAGTGCTGCCGCAGCGGCTGTCCCCGATGCCTCCTATTGACGCCGATGAAATATTGATGCGGAGGCCAGCTGGAGCCCAGCCAGCCCTGCGTGCAGTGGGGGCGGGGAGGGAGGGAGGGAGGGAAGGAGGTTCAGCCTCACCTTCCTCCAGGATAGGAAGGCAGAGACCAGGCTCCCTGGGCTCCTGCTGGCTCAGCCCAGCTCTCCTGCCCCGTGCCCTCCATGGGCTGGAGGGGGCTGGCCACCTCCCAACCTGTCCCTCATTCATTTACTGCCCTGCCCACCCATGGGGGCAGCCCTGGCTGGGTGCTCTTGGCCCCAGGGGTGCTGTGTCTATGCTGCACCTGGACAGACAGGCACAGAGAGGGGAGGCGCCTTGGCCATTGTCCCCAGCTTCCTAGGTAGGGGTCAGGGCCACATAGGCCTGTTAGGTGAGAGCAGCCAACCTCCCGCGGCCTGGGCTGTGCAGCTACCCACCAGCATCCTGGATGCCGCTGGACCCTGGGCTGCCATGAAACCGGTTGGAGGATCTGAGGTGGGTGGGGGTGGGGAAATGAAGGACTTCCTCATGCCTTGGCCTCTGGCTGCATGCTGTGTGACCCCAGAATAGTCCCTTCCCTTCTTTGAGCCGCCCAGTGCTGAAGGTGCTGAGGAGGCATGAATTGCCCCCCATTTCCTGGCCAGCAGTGTGGATGGGCAGCAGGTCCCCTGAGATGGACCTGACCACTTCCTGTGGCCCCACCTCGAAGTCCACGCTCTTTTCATGGCTCCCAGGGAGCAGGTTCCCATAAGGATGCATTTGGTGGGGCCACCCCATGTCTACCACATTCCCAGAGTCCCTGAGCCAAGTCCTCAGGGACAGGAACTGGCTTGTGTGGTTGGCGGCCCCTGTGGGGCCAGCCAGGGTAGTTGGGGGGCAGGACAAGACCCACCGGGTAGGCCGGCCCAGGCCACTTCCTCTCTTTGTTGTCCTCGTATTTTCTTTTCCTCCTGAGATTTAACTTGAAGACAACGTCACTAGCAGTTTCTGGAGCTACTTGCCAAGGCTGAGTGTGAGCTGAGCCTGCCCCACCACCAAGATGATCCTGAGCTTGCTGTTCAGCCTTGGGGGCCCCCTGGGCTGGGGGCTGCTGGGGGCATGGGCCCAGGCTTCCAGTACTAGCCTCTCTGATCTGCAGAGCTCCAGGACACCTGGGGTCTGGAAGGCAGAGGCTGAGGACACCGGCAAGGACCCCGTAGGACGGTAAGAGGGCCTGGACCTTGGCAGAGGTCATGGAGTAGGATCTGAGTCCCAGCTCAGCTAGAGCAGAGCCTCTCTAGACCTCACTGGGGTCCCATCTGTGAAATGGGCTAATAGTATCTATCTCTGGGCCATCTGTGAGGCTGAAAAAGTAGTCTGGACTGGGTGTTTCAGGATCCACCTAAGAATTGCAGGGAGTTCCCTGTCGGAGCCATGGCAGGGAATGGGGCTTGGGGGGCTGGCAGGGAGGCACAGCTCCTACCATCAATCACCCAGCATGGGGCACTGGGGGACTGTGGCTGAAGCCATTGCCAGCTGGCCTGGCTATGCCTCCTGTTCTTCCAAAGAAATCAATTCTGAAAGCTGAGACCCAGCAAGGCTGCCCTGAGATTTTGATCTGAGTTCCCTGGGGACCTGACTCTGACTGCCCAGCAGTGAGCAGAGACGGCCCCCTGCTCTCCAGAGCACAGTCCAGGGCGCTCTGCCTCAGCGACCCAGCAAGTGGGCAGGATGGTCTTGCAACTGGACCCAGAACATAGCTTTCCAACATTCTATGTGTACAGAGCCAGGGCCCATCCTGCTGATGAGGTGTTGGGCCTGTAAGTCCCCCCTCATCTCCAACTGCCCCTCAGTCAGAGCAGCAGGTGCTGTTTACGGGGCCCCCAGTCTCAGGGCCAGGCACCTTGCCACGTGTATCTCAGTTCATCCCTCCAACAGCCCCACTTACAGAGGAGGAGCCTGAGGCTCAGAGAGGCTGAGGGGCTTGCCCAAGGCCACACAGCTAAGGAGCAGGATCTGAGTTTGACTTCAGAGCTCATAGTGAACTCTCTGCAGCACTTGGAGCCAGCCCCAGCCCCCAGATGCTCCTACCTCCACCCTCCTGCCCCCACACACCAGACCTGTTTGGCTAAGGGCATCTACATGGATTTAGGGAGTGAGGGGGGGGCCAACTTACACTTCTGTGCGGTGTATGAGAGCCACCATCGCAGAGCGGACCTGCCTGGGATAGGTCTCATTTGGCTTCTGAGTTGCAGGTTTGTTGGGTGCTTTCCTGAAAACAGATTTGACCAGGGAGGGGCAAGAGGCCCCTTAGTGAGGGTCTGGTGGCAGTGGCGTGGGGAACAGTGGCTGAGCAGTTGGCCATGGAGAAACCTCATTCCCGCCTGCCCCCAACTCTGCTCAGGGCTGGGAGGTGCAGGTGATTCTCGGTGGTGGGGCGGCAAGGGGAGCAGGGGGCGGGGGAGGGGCGGGCTGGATCCAGCCACTCCGCTCTGATTTCAGGACCAAGGAAGCTCCACGCCTTAGTCTCAGGCCACCTTCCGCCTTTTGATGAAAGGGAGGATGAGAGGACCCGGTGGACGGGAGGGAGGAGGGAGCTGCTCCTCTTCCTCCCCACCCCCTTGGTTGTGGGAGAGACATTGCTCCCTTAGCCCCAAGGAGTGAGGGTTTGGGAACTGCTGATGGGCAGCCCTGCAGGGGCCCCGCAGTCCTTCTCTGGGGTTCTGAGTGGGAGGGTGCATGTACCTGGCCCAGGAATGCCCAGGTGTCCCAAGCCTGGAAGCCCCCTGCCTGCAGGGCTCTCCTTCCCACATCCAGAAGCTGCAGTCTCCACAGGGCAAGTCCATGCTCTCTCACCAAACCCGGATGGGCTGGTGAGAAAGGAAGGAAACGCGCGGCTTCCTGGGCTGATTACTTCCCTTGCTCCTGTGACCAGGGAGGTGGAAGCGTGCTCCAGACCCTGTCCCTGCAGCATGGGAAGGGGAGGCAGACTGGGTTCTGCTAGCAGGGGTGGTGACACCAACACCATCACAAGGAGGCTCGGCTGCCAGGGCCAGGCATTCTGCCCTGCCTTTGCCACTTACATCTGTTTCCAGAGCCCCAGGGCTAGGCTGGGCCCAGGATGCAGGCCCCAATAAGACCCTTTGCAAGGAGAAGCTTGAATAGAACCACTACGTCCTCAGACTTCCCTGAGGTGGAGAAGCGAAGGGGTTAACTGCTTCTTAGGTTGCCAGGGACCCCGAGGGGCCCAGCCCAGGGAGCCAGCAGCCTGAGCATTAGGACTCCGGGAGGAAGAGGCTGTTTCTGTGCCCTGGCTTGGGGATGTCTAGAATGTGGGTGCCTCAGACCCAGGATTTGCTGTCCCAGTGGAACTCAGTCTGCGGTAGGGACCGTGCTGAGCCCCAGGCAAGGTGTCCCATCTATCACATTGCTATGATAGCTTGGAGGGGTGGGGACGCCTCCCAGGGCCACAGAGCTCCTAAGTGACAGTGAGAGCCCAGGCCCACCCAGGCTGTCCTGTCCCCCCAAGAGGGTGGCCGTGTAGGGGATGCTGCTGCCAGCAGGCTGGTTGGCCCCAGTCACCAGCCTCAGGCTTCTCCTGACCCTTACACAAAGAGCACTGAGATTTTCCCAGCTGGGAGCTTGTGGCCCAGAGGAGTCCAGCATATGACTGGAGGTCACACAGGAGCAGGGCAGAGCACAGGCCGCCTTCTCTGGGCCACGATGCACCTTTTGCACTTGTTCCTCCCCCATCCTCACCCCCACCCCCGACCCCTGCCGGGCACAGAGCCCTTGGTATGAACAGGGAAGAACCCCCACTGGCCAGAGCTGAAGCTTCCAGAACCACGCTCAGGGGTTCTTAGCTCTGGGCTGATCCCTGAGAGCCTCAGGCTTCTCTGCCAAGGCCCTTTTCTGACTCAAGGACAAAATCCTGTGAGTTTCTCCCCTGGAATGGTCAAGTTAATGGCTGGCTTCAGGGCCTCAGAAAACAAGGCTGCTGAGAACACGCCTTCCTTCCCAAGGAAGACTTGAGGGCCCCTGGGAGGGCGTTTCCTGGCTGGGGAAGGGAAGGCACTCCACACAATCTGCATAATGGATGCGCCCTCCCCCTCCCACAGGCTCCCTCTCCCTTCCCCCCACACCAGCTCTGATCTGTGTGCCGCAGAGGCACAGCTTCTTCGCATTTCGATGATGGGGGAAGGGCCTTGCCCAAGGTCACTGTGGGTTCAGGGAGGAGGAGGAGAGGAGAACGCAGGCCGCCCAGCTTCCATTTAAAGCTCCAAAGGAGTCCACGTACCCTCCTATCTGGGTGGAGCAGCAGGTTGGGGCCACAGCAGACCAAGGGCAGCTCCAAACCAGGCCAGAGGAGCCCCACATCCACTCTGGGTTGGCCACTGGGAGATGAGGGCACCCAGCAGGACTCCCCAAGGGAGGGCACAAAGATGAAGCCAGCCTGAGACGGAGGGGCAGAGGGAAAAATGGGCACTTCAGCAAGTTGGGCCGGGGGCATGGGCATCAAGGGCCAGCCAGAAGCTGCCAAGAGCTGGAGGAAGCCAAAGCAAAGGTCAGGAATGTTCCCAGGGTTCTGGGCCAGCAGCCTGTACTGTGCCAAGGGAGGGCCTGCCCAGGGTGGGGAGCATGGGCAGAGAGAATAGCAGTGCTGAAGCCCAGGGTCTGGGCAGGTCAGCGGAGAAAGTTCCTGGGCAGGAAGGGTGGGCGGCATAGTTTCCACTTCCAGGAGCTTGAGGTGGAAAGTCCCAGTCACTCCTGGCAGGCTGGACCAGGCCAGGCGTGCCTGGGGCACACGCCTTCCAGGCCCTCTGCAGTAGGTCAGAGGTTTGCAAGGAATGGAAGTTTGTTTAGAGAGAGTTTCTCAGCCCTGGCATACTGACATTTTGGACTAGATAATTCCTTGTGGTGGGGTGTGGAGATGTCCTATGCATTGTAGGGTATTTGGCAGCATCTTTGGGCCCCACCCATGAGATACCTAGTCATGAGTAGCACCCACCACCCAGTCGTGACAATGCACCTGGGGAAAGTACCCTCTCCTCCCATTGAGAACCACTGGTCTAAGAGAGATTTTTCCCTAGGGCTGAGCTGTTGCGGGAAGTCAGGGACCCTGAACGGAGGGACAGGCTGGAGCCGCGGCAGAGGAACATAAATTGTGAAGATTTCATTTTAATATGGGCATATATCAGTTCCCAAAATTAATACTCTTATAATTTCTTACACCTGTCTTTACTGCAATCTCTGAACATAAATTGTGAAGATTTCATTTTAATATGGACATTTATCACTTCCCTAATAATACTCATAATTTCTTATGCCTGTCTTGCTTTAATCTCTTAATCCTGTTATCTTCATAAGCTGAGGATGTACATCACCTCAGGACCCTGTGATTTTGCGTTAACTGTACAAATTGATTGTAAAACGTGTGTTTTAATAATATGATATCAGTGCACCTTGAAAATGAACAGAATAACAGCGATTTTAGGGAACAAGGGAAGACAACCATAAGGTCTAACTGCCTGCGGGGTCGGGCAAAAGGAGCCATATTTTTCTTCTTGCAGAGAGCCTATAAACGGATATGCAAGTAGGAGAGATATCGCTAAATTCTTTTCCTAGCAAGGAATATAATATTAAGACCCTAGGAAAAGAATTACATTCCTGCGGGGAGGTCTATAAACGGCCGCTCTGGGAGTGTCTGTCCTATGCGGTTGTGATAAGGACTGAGATATGCCCTGGTCTCCTGCAGTACCCTCAGGCTTACCAGGATTGAGAAACCCCAGCCCTGGTAAATTTGAGATCAAACTGGTTCTCTGCTCTCAAACCCTGTTTTCTGTTAAGATGTTTATCAAGACAATACATGGAACCACTGAACGTAGACCCTTATCGGAGTTTTTGATTTTGTCCTTGCCCCGTTTCCTCAGAAGCATATGATCTTTGCTCTGCTTTTTGCCCCTTAAAGCATGTGACCTACTCCCTGTTCATACACCCCCTCCCCTTTTGAAGTCCTTAATAAAAACCTGCTGGTTTTGCGGCTCAGGTGGGCATCACAGTCCTACCGATAGGTGATGTCACACCTGGAGGCCCAGCTGTAAAATTCCTCTCTTTGAACTCTTTCTCTTTATTTCTCAGACCAGTCGACACTTAGGGAAAATAGAAAGAATGTATGTTGAAATATTGGGAGTGGGTTCCCCCAATACTGAGCCCATGTTCCAGGAGTTTCCATGGGGCCCCAGGTGGATGTCTGTGCAGGCAAGCATGACACCTGTGGCTCCTGAGCTCTGGGGCCAGCGCCTTCCCAGCTCTCTGTTTCAGTGTTGAGTGAGCATTCCTTCCTTCCTTCCATCCTTATCGTGAGGTGTCCCCTTTTTACGTTGACTGATCCCTTGGAGATGCACTGGCCCCTTCCTGGTCTCTGTTCCCACTGGCTGGCATATCGAATCCTGAGCCAACGCCCCATCATTTTCATTCCTTGGCTTTGGAGTCGGTCTTGATAGTTGTGAGAGAAACTCCCTACTCATTGTTTTCTTTCAAAATGTTCTTTCTTTTTTTCTTTTGAGACAGGGCAGACCCAGGCTCGAGTGCAGTGGTTCAATGTCGGCTCACTGCAACCTCCACCTCCTCAGCTCAAGCAATCCTTCCACCTCAGCCTCCCAAGTAGCTGGGACTAGAGGTGTGCACCACCACACCCAGCTAATTTTTGTATTTTTTGTAGAGACAGGGTTGTGCCATGTTGCCCAGTCTTGTCTGAAACTCCTGCATTCAAGTGATCCTCCTGCCTGGGCCTCCCAAAGTGCTGGGATTACAGGCATGAGTCACTGTGTCCAGGTTCCAAACTGTTCTTGATTATTCATCTGCATTTTCTCTTCCTGATGAAAATGATTTTTTTTTTAAGTTTCATTTTTATTAGTTATATATACTCATAGGCAGGGGTCAGAAAACTATGGCCAGTGGGCCAAATCCAGCCCATCACCTGTTTTTGCTAACAAAGTTTTATTGGAGCACAGACAGGCTGGTTCATTTATATGTTGTCATTGACTTCTTTTGTGGTACAATGGCAGAGTTGAGTAGATGGGACAGAGTTCATGTGGCCTGGAAAGCCTGAAACCATGGCCAGCATCAGGGGCATGTGACCTGTGCAGTCACACACAAGGCCCTGCACTCTGGAGGGCCCCACCCTGGGTGTCACCATCTTGAAATTCTTCATACTTTTTGAAGGAGAGGCCCCACATATTCATTTTGCACTGGGCCCTGAAGATTATGTAGCTGGCCTTGTGTCAAATATTTACTACCTGTACCCTTAGAAAAAAAGTTTGCTGATCTCCTGATTAGGAGTCAACTGGTTCTATAAGGCTTGTTGAGACAGTCAGAAGCCCCAGCTCCCTCTGGTCCCAAGGGCAATGACTTTCAACTTTGCAGGTGATTCTTTTGCATTTACCTCTGTATCACTAAAGAACATGCTTGCATTGCTACTTCTTAGGAGGTAGCATTATCTTTTTTTTTCTTTGAGATGGAGTTTCACTCTTGTTGCCCAGGCTGGAGTGCAATGGCGTGATCTTGGCTCACTGCAACCTCCACCTCCCAGATTCAAGCAATTATCCTGCCTCAGCCTCCCGAGTAGCTGGGATGGAAGTAGCATTATCTATGAGCTAGATCTCATTCCTACCCCAAAGCAAATGCATGTGCACGCATCCATAGGGCCATGTGTACTGCTCAGCATTAAGCCTTGAAATAAACTGTGAAACTTTTTTGCCCCCTTGCACACTTTTGGTTTTCCCTGTAGTAAAAATTTAGAACTCACAGAGTTCTAAAATTTCATGTCTTGCTTTTTTCTTCTGCTTATTCTGTGTCTTTATCACTAACTCAACTCCACACCCTCAGCCAGTTGTCCACATCTGCTCTCTACACTCATTCATGCCAGGTGTCAGATCAGCTGCATCTTCTTGGAGATGTGGCTCCCAGAGCCTCCAGGTGTGTTCCAATGTGAACTGCTGCCCTCATACCACAGCCCATTGTCATTCTGGAGGCTCTCTTCACCTGGTTTTTGTGTTGGAACCTGTTTCCTGATCTTGTGCTTTCTCTTTCTTGATTTTCTCTGTTGTTTTGTTAGAGTGTTTCCTGTGACACCACGGTTCTGCATCCTGGGTGTGCCATGCAATTACCCAGAGAGCCTTAAAATGCTGGTGCTCAGGCCCTAAGCTCAGGGGATCTAGGAGACTATTATTTTTCTTTCTTTTTATTATTATTATTATTTTTGAGACGGAGTCTCTCACTGTCACCCAGGCTGGAGTGCAATGGTGTGATCTTGGCCCACCACAACCTCTGCCTCCCGGGTCAAGCGATTCTTCTGCCTCAGCCTCCCAAGTAGCTAGGATAATTAGGAGATTATGCCCAGATAATTTTTTGTATTTTTAGTAGAGACAGGGTGTCACTATGTTGGCCAGGCTGGTCACAAACTCCTGACGTCGTGATCCGCCTGCTTCGGCCTCCCAAAGTGCTGGGATTACAGGCATGAGCCACCGTACCCGGCCTCTTTTTATTATTTTTTGTATTTTTTGTAGAGATGAAGTCTCACTATATTGCCCAGGCTGGTCTCAAATTCCTAGTCTCAAGCAGTCTTCCTGCCTCGGCCTCCCAGTGTTGGGATGATCGTCATGAGCCACTGCACCTGGCCCAAGACTATTATTATTATTATTATTATCATTATTATTATTATTATTGAGACGGAGTCTCGCTCTGTCACCCAGGCTGGAGTGCAGTGGTACAGTCTCCACTCACTGCAACCTCTGCCTTCCGGGTTCAAGTGATTCTCCTGCCTCAGTCTCCCGAGTAGCTGGGATTACAGGCGTGCACCACCATGCCCGGCTAATATTTGTATTTTTAGTGGAGACAAGGTTTTGCCATGTTTGCCAGGCTGGTCTGGAACCCCTGACCTCAAGTGATCCACCTGCCTTGGCCTCCCAAAGTGCTGGAATTACAGGCATGAGCCACCACACCCAGCCCCAAGACTATTATTTTTAAAGTGTCACACAATGGTTTTGTTTTTGGGTGTCTTTTTTTTTTTTTGAGATGGGGTCTCACTATGTCTCCAGGCTGATCTCAAACTCCAGGCCTCAAGCAGTTCTCCCACCTCAGTCACTTGAGTATCTGGGATTACAGGTGCAAGCCACCACACCTGGCTTGCATGATGGTGTTGATGTGCAGGCAATATTTCAAACCACTGCTCATCAGGTAGTCTCCTACTGGGATACATGGGAGGTAAATGTTCTGAAACCTGGGTTGTTTGAAAATGTCTTTATTCTCACTCCCCACACTGGTTCATAGTTAGGCTGGATATGAGATTCTGGGTTGTAAATTATTTTTCTTCAGTATTTTGAATGCAATTTTCACTGTGTTCCAGTTTCCAATATTGCTGTTGAGAGGTTCAAAGCCATTCCAATTACTGATTTTGTATGAGTGTGTTTGTCTTGGTTTTCCTCTCTGGAAGCACGTAGAAACCATCTTTGTTCCCAGAGTTCTAAAATTTCATATGACATGTTTTGATGTAAGTGTATTTTCATCATATTGCAGGTAACTGGTGGTGCTTTTAATCTGGAAATTGAAGTCCTTAACTTCTGGAATATGTTTTTTGTTTGTTGTTGAGACAAGGTCTCGCTCTTTTGCTCAGGCTGGAGTCCAGTGGCGCAATCATAGCTCACTGAAGCCTCAACCTCCTGGGCTCACGGGACCCTTCCACCTCAGCCATCTGAGGAGCTGGGACTACAGGTGTACATCACCACACCTGGCTAATTTTTTAATTTTTTTGTGGAGATTGAGATCTTGCCATGTTGCTCAGGCTGGTCTCGAACTCCTGAGCTCAAGTGATCCTCCTGCCTCAACCTCCCAAAATACTGGGATTACAGGCATGAGCCACCATGCCCGGCCTGATTTTTTTTCATTGATGATTTTCTCCATCTGTTCTCTCTTTCTGAAATTTGTACTACTTGGATGTTACATTTGCAAGACTGGTCGTCTATTTTTCTTTTCTCTTTCCAATTTTCATCTCTCTGTTTGCTCTTTTAGGGAAATTTCTTTAACTTTACCCTCTAACGTTTCCATTAAATTTATTTTCATTTTTACTGTTACGTTTTTAATTTCCAAGAGTTCCTTTTTGTTTTCTGAATGCTCACGCTTCCTCTCCCATCTCCCCCTCATTTGTTTTTTTCATAGCTTCCTGGTCTTGTTTCTTGGGTGCAGTAATTTCTTTTATCAACCTGGAAATCTTAGTACAAATGTTTGAGTGGTTCTCTTCTCCTTACACAGTCTTAGTTTTTGTCCAGGTTGACATTTTTTTGTTTGCCCACTTCAACCTCTTTTTTTTTTTTTTTTTTTGAGATAGGGTTTTGCTGTGCACCCAGGCTGAAGTGTAGTGGCATAATCATGGCTCACTGCAGCCTCAAACTTCTGGGCTCAAGCAATCCTCCTACCTCAGCCTCCTGAATAGCTGGGACTACAGGCATGCGCCACCACACCTGGCTAATTTTTTGTAGGGATGAGGTCTCACTACGTTGCACAGGCTGGACTCAAACTCCTGGGCTCCAAGGATCCTCCCACCTCAGCCTCCCAAAGTGCTGGGGTTACAGGCGTGCGCCACTGTACCTGGCCCTCTTTTGGAATACAGTGTTTCTTGGGTAAATCTTGGATGTCTGCTCACTTAAGAGGAGAAAGACTGAGAAACTGACTGGAAGCTGGGGTGTATGAATACTCCTTTCTTACCCATTTTGTCATAGGATCTTCTGGTTGGCTATTTTTATGGGAGAACCCCTGCTGTCAGCAGCTTTGGGTCTTTTCCTCTCGGGCTGGCTTATTTTCCTGAGAAACTTTTCCAGTCTGCTGCTGAGAGGGTAAAGCAGGCTGGGGACTCAGCACTCAAAATATGGTCACTCGGCTGGGTACAGTGGCTCACGCCTGTAATCCCAGCACTTTGGGAGGCTGAGGCAGGTGGATCACGAGGTCAGGAGTTTAAGACCAGCCTGGCCAACATAGTGAAACCCCGTCTCTACTAAAAATACAAAAAAAATTAGCCAGGCTTGGTGGTGGGCACCTGTAATCCCAGCCCACTTGGGAGGCTGAGGCAAGGAGAATCGCTTGAACCTGGGAGGTGGAGGTTGCAGCAAGCCGAGATTGCACCACTGCACTCCAGCCCAAGCGACAGTGCGAGACTCCGTCTCAAAAAAAAAAAAGTCACTCGAATCCCCCGCCCCTGCCTTTCCCAACACTATCCCCTGTGTGACAGTGCTTGATGGCCCCAGGACAAAGACCGGCTCCAGAGAATAAAATCCCGGCACTGACAGCCACTTCATCACCAAGGCCTCTGAATGCTGCTTTCTAAGAGCCCACAAATGTGGCCACTTCTCCCATGTCCACCATCACTCAGTCCAAGTTGCCATCATCTCTCCCCAGACCGTGGACACAGCTGCCAACGTCTTGCCCTCCCATCATCTCTGCACCCAGGGACCAGGGTGGCTCTTTCATGCCACTTCCCTGCTGAAACCCCTCCATGATTTCCCATGCCCTCAGGACATGGGCCAGCTCCTCCGCTGAGGTCTGGCTTCTCCCTTCATCCCAGCCTCCTTCTGCAGCCCCTTCCTCACCCTCTTGCACCCCTGTCACATCTGGTGCCTCATCCGACTTTCTGGCCTTAAGACACAGCCCCATTAGCTCCTTCTCCTGAAAGTCTCTGCAGATCCTAGCACTTCTCACCCATTCTAAGAGTGCCCGCTCTCCCTGGGGATCCTGAAGGGAAAGTCTGCACCTCCACATCCACACCCTGAGCTTGAGTGCAGCACCCGGCACCCAAGAGGTGCTGAGCTGTACTGTGCCACAGAGATCATTGCCACTTTCAACTCTGACGAGCTCTGTTCTGGGAGCTGGCTGCCTGGGGAAGGGCTCTCTGACCACTGCCACTGACCCCATGGAGTCAGCCACTGGGTCTGTGAACTGGGGCTCTGTCAGCATGAGTGTCCCCCCGCTCCTGGGACCACCACAGTACATGCTGGTGAAGGGCCAGGATGGAAGGGCTACCTATCAGGTGTGCGGGATGCTGAGTGTGACCCCCAACCACCTTGCATGACCTTGATGCGGTGGCCATCCCAGAGAGGACACTGCTCCACCCAGCTGCTTACCTTTCCTTAGGACAACTGTTTGAAAGTCCCTTTCTAGAATGGTCCTAATGGGCATGGCCAGGGAGCTGGTCCCTCATGTAAGTAGCAACTGGGCAGGCTGCCAGGGCAGCTGGAATGGGGCAGTGGAGCTGTGTTCACAGAACGCTTGTCAGGAGCCAGGCACCTGGTGCTTCTCTGCCCACTTAAAGGAGGGCATTACGATCGCCATTGTATAGATGGGGAAAGAGAAGCTCCCTAAGTGCCTCACTCAGGGTCACACAGCCAGAAAGTGTGAGGGATTCGAACCCAGGATTCTCCAGCCCCAGCTGCACGTTGGTAGCAGGAGAAACAGCGAGAGCTTTCTGGCTCTGTGGCTAACCTCACCAAAGGGAATCCATGCAGACAGCTGCAGTGCACACGGTGTTTTCCCCACACTCTGGCTGTTAGTTTTGTTGGCTAAAACAATCATCACCCTGGAGCTGCTTTTCACAGTTCTAGATTGTGGTGGGTTTCTCAGCCTCTCTGCTGGCTCGGGGAGGCTTCGGGAAGGTGGTGGAGCAGGTGCCCTCTTTGCAGGTAGGGATTGTGAAACATTTGCTCTGGAGCCCAGGGATGAATAATGCGGAAGGCTCTCTTCTCAGGATAATGGATTCCAGAATCCCAGCACTGCTCCGGCAGGAGGCGAGGACCGGTGGCTCTGCACTGGCACCCCCTGTTGACCTGGGTGTGGCTCAGCAGCCTTCTCCTCTGGCTTGTTTTCCAGTAACTGGTGCCCCTACCCAATGTCCAAGCTGGTCACCTTACTAGCTCTTTGCAAAACAGAGAAATTCCTCATCCACTCGCAGCAGCCGTGTCCGCAGGGAGCTCCAGACTGCCAGAAAGTCAAAGTCATGTGAGTAGGGGAGGGTGGGCCATTTGCCCAGGCCTGGAGCGGGCCCTCCCTGGAATCACTGAGCCAGCCCTTCTCCTCTTCCAGGTACCGCATGGCCCACAAGCCAGTGTACCAGGTCAAGCAGAAGGTGCTGACCTCTTTGGCCTGGAGGTGCTGCCCTGGCTACACGGGCCCCAACTGCGAGCACCACGGTAGGGCTCCCTGCGGCCCCCTTCCCCCCTTGACCTCTGATCCCCAAGGTCAAGCAGCTCCTCTGACCACTGGGGTCAATAACTAATGCTTTCTTCTGCAGATTCCATGGCAATCCCTGAGCCTGCAGATCCTGGTGACAGCCACCAGGAACCTCAGGATGGACCAGTCAGCTTCAAACCTGGTGTGTTGCTTTCCGGAAGGGGAAGGCAGGCAGGCTGGTGGGGCCCATGTAGCCAGCTGGCCCTTTTTCCTGTGATACAGCAGTGCCATTTCAGGGAAACCTTGCCTCCAGAATCAGCAAGGCCTGCTCTGTGGCCTGTACCACCTCCCACCTTGAAGGCCAGGCTCACAGGGCCCCCAGCGGCCTACTGGCCAAGCACACACACCCTTTTCCTTCACCCCATCTTCTGGGAAGGACTGGTTCATCTGGCACTTTCCTTGCCCCGCTGAACCACACAAGCCCTTGTGCCTGGAAAAAGCATTCTCACCCTTTCCCACAGCCCTAACCAGAGCCAGGAAGTCATGCTGTCCTTGGTCTTGGAGTCAGCACAGGAAACCCACCAAGAGACACCATTTGCAGCAGGGCCCTTTAAGGCTGGGCCCAAGATTGAGAAAGTAAATGAGTTTCATTATGTGGTGAAGTATTTATTGACAAGGGCTGCCAAGAATGAAGTTGTGAGGCCATGTGCATGTGCTGAGGAGGGGAGTGTACCATGATTGATTAGTCATGTCTGCTGTAGGTGTAGGAGGCAGGGTGAGGGCTCACTTGCTATGCATTTGCCCTCCAGGGGTTTAAGGCTTCTAAGCTCCTGCTCAGAGGACATCAGCAGCTAACTTCCCTGCTCTCAGCCTTCAACTCTCCTTCTCTGAACCTTGTGATCTTCCCAGGCCTGGTGAGTTAGCCCTTGACATTTATGTCTGCTGTGTATTTAGGCCACCTTGCTGCAGTGATCAATGAGGTTGAGGTGCAACAGGAACAGCAGGAACATCTGCTGGGAGATCTCCAGAATGATGTGCACCGGGTGGCAGACAGCCTGCCAGGCCTGTGGAAAGCCCTGCCTGGTAACCTCACAGCTGCAGTGATGGAAGCAAATCAAACAGGGCACGGTGAGTGGCAGGCTCTAGGGGCTGAGGAAGAGCCTGGTCACATTGAGGGGAGGAGGGGAGGACCCCGCTGGTCCCAGCCTGGGAGGAGTGTCTGCTCCTGCAGGGCTTGTGTCACACCACATGTCTGTTGCAGAGTTCCCTGATAGATCCTTGGAGCAGGTGCTGCTACCCCACGTGGACACCTTCCTACAAGTGCATTTCAGCCCCATCTGGAGGAGCTTTAACCAAAGCCTGCACAGCCTTACCCAGGCCATAAGAAACCTGTCTCTTGACGTGGAGGCCAACCGCCAGGCCATCTCCAGAGTCCAGGACAGTGCCGTGGCCAGGGCTGACTTCCAGGAGCTTGGTGCCAAATTTGAGGCCAAGGTCCAGGAGAACACTCAGAGAGTGGGTCAGCTGCGACAGGACGTGGAGGACCGCCTGCACGCCCAGCACTTTACCCTGCACCGCTCGATCTCAGAGCTCCAAGCCGATGTGGACACCAAATTGAAGAGGCTGCACAAGGCTCAGGAGGCCCCAGGGACCAATGGCAGTCTGGTGTTGGCAACGCCTGGGGCTGGGGCAAGGCCTGAGCCGGACAGCCTGCAGGCCAGGCTGGGCCAGCTGCAGAGGAACCTCTCAGAGCTGCACATGACCACGGCCCGCAGGGAGGAGGAGTTGCAGTACACCCTGGAGGACATGAGGGCCACCCTGACCCGGCACGTGGATGAGATCAAGGAACTGTACTCCGAATCGGACGAGACTTTCGATCAGATTAGCAAGGTGGAGCGGCAGGTGGAGGAGCTGCAGGTGAACCACACGGCGCTCCGTGAGCTGCGCGTGATCCTGATGGAGAAGTCTCTGATCATGGAGGAGAACAAGGAGGAGGTGGAGCGGCAGCTCCTGGAGCTCAACCTCACGCTGCAGCACCTGCAGGGTGGCCATGCCGACCTCATCAAGTACGTGAAGGACTGCAATTGCCAGAAGCTCTATTTAGACCTGGACGTCATCCGGGAGGGCCAGAGGGACGCCACGCGTGCCCTGGAGGAGACCCAGGTGAGCCTGGACGAGCGGCGGCAGCTGGACGGCTCCTCCCTGCAGGCCCTGCAGAACGCCGTGGACGCCGTGTCGCTGGCCGTGGACGCGCACAAAGCGGAGGGCGAGCGGGCGCGGGCGGCCACGTCGCGGCTCCGGAGCCAAGTGCAGGCGCTGGATGACGAGGTGGGCGCGCTGAAGGCGGCCGCGGCCGAGGCCCGCCACGAGGTGCGCCAGCTGCACAGCGCCTTCGCCGCCCTGCTGGAGGACGCGCTGCGGCACGAGGCGGTGCTGGCCGCGCTCTTCGGGGAGGAGGTGCTGGAGGAGATGTCTGAGCAGACGCCGGGACCGCTGCCCCTGAGCTACGAGCAGATCCGCGTGGCCCTGCAGGACGCCGCTAGCGGGCTGCAGGAGCAGGCGCTCGGCTGGGACGAGCTGGCCGCCCGAGTGACGGCCCTGGAGCAGGCCTCGGAGCCCCCGCGGCCGGCAGAGCACCTGGAGCCCAGCCACGACGCGGGCCGCGAGGAGGCCGCCACCACCGCCCTGGCCGGGCTGGCGCGGGAGCTCCAGAGCCTGAGCAACGACGTCAAGAATGTCGGGCGGTGCTGCGAGGCCGAGGCCGGGGCCGGGGCCGCCTCCCTCAACGCCTCCCTTCACGGCCTCCACAACGCACTCTTCGCCACTCAGCGCAGCTTGGAGCAGCACCAGCGGCTCTTCCACAGCCTCTTTGGGAACTTCCAAGGGCTCATGGAAGCCAACGTCAGCCTGGACCTGGGGAAGCTGCAGACCATGCTGAGCAGGAAAGGGAAGAAGCAGCAGAAAGACCTGGAAGCTCCCCGGAAGAGGGACAAGAAGGAAGCGGAGCCTTTGGTGGACATACGGGTCACAGGGCCTGTGCCAGGTGCCTTGGGCGCGGCGCTCTGGGAGGCAGGTGAGTTCCTGGGCTGGGGAGACTGGACGAGCCTAGGAGGCCAGGGCCGGCTGCCGGCAGCTCTTCTGCCTCCAAGAGGGCCAGGAAGAAAGAGAACAGGATGGCCATCCGTCACCCCTACTAGGTCCACCTTCCCCTTGGCCCACCTGCTTCTCAGGGGTGTGGGTCTCTCAAGCTACCTGGCTTATGGGGAGACAGAAGTCACAAGAACCACCTGCTAGTGCCAGAGCCCGTGAGCGGCATAGCCTGGAGGCCACAGGCACAATAGTGCCGCCTACTGCTCCTGCTACAGAGAGGGCATCGCCTCCTGCCCTGCCAGGGCAGCCTTCAAGTCCCCCCATCTCATCTCTTCACCTCACCCCCTTCATTCCCATGTGCGTTTAAGCCACTGTATCTAGGAAGAATGTGGATAGGGACTGTGGCCACTTGCAGCCCCACTTAGTTCTGTTTCATTTTCCATGATTTTAGTTTTTTTTTTGTTTTTTTTTTCTTTTTCTTTTCTTTTTTTTTTTTTTTTTAAGATGGGTCTCACTTTGTCGTCCAGGCTTGAGTACAGTGGTGGGATCATGGCTCACTGCAGCCTAGACCTCTCCAGGCTCAGCTGATCCTCCCACTTCAGCCTCCAGAGTAGCTAGGACTTACAGGCATGTGTCACCATGCCTAGCTAATTTTTGTACTTTTTGTAGAGACAGGGTCTTGCTATGGTGCCCAGGCTGGTCTCAAATTCCTGGGATCAAGTAATCTGCCCACCTCAGCCTCCTAAAGTGTTAGGATTACAGGTGTGAGCCATGTGCCCAGCCTTGATTTCAGTTTCTTGCATCAACCACGATCAGAAAATAGGTGAGTACAGTACAATAAGATTTTGAGAGAGGGAGACACCACATTCATATAACTTTTATTACAGTATACTGTTATAATTGCTTTATATTTTATTATTATTGTCAATCTCTTACTGTGCCTAATTTACAAGTTAAACTTTGGCATAGGTATGTACATAGAGGAAAATAAATAGTATATATAGGGTTTGGTACTGTCTGAGATTTCAGGCACCTGCTAAGGTCTTGGAACACACCTCAGTGGACTGTACAGGGAAAGCCGTGGGCCCTGAAAGGAGCTCATTCCCTCTGCAAATACAGTTAACCTGTCTCATCGCTCTGTGCTAGTCCCCTTCCTGGGCTTTACCACAATGGCCCATCCCAACAGGTCAATGACACACTCATCAGCACTTCCATCTTACCTGAAACTGAGGCGCAAACACAAGTTTCCTGCTTGCACAGCTAGTGAGCAGCAGAGGAGCGCTGTCTTTAGGGTGCCGGTTCTTCACCTCCAGAAGGCCCTCCATGGCTGGTCCCTGCAGGGCCCTGGGCCTGGGAGCTGGCTTTGAGGCTGAAGGCATGTGCAACCAAGCTTCCCATCCCCTCCCTGAGTGTGGTCCCGGGAGGGGGACAACTAGGCTCTGTGTCTCAAGTGACTCTCTCTGCCAGAGGCTGGCCTTGGAGCTGTGGCCTCTCCCCACCCAGACACAGGGCTAAGTACAAGGCCACCATCTTGGCCATGTGCAGCCTGGCGTGTGGCAAGTCCAAGGCCTTGTTGAAGGTCCCGTCCCAGGCAGCCCCTGCCCCAGCTGACCCTCCCTATGGCCCAAGAGGCAATGTGGAGCAGTGGGAAGCACCCAGGCTCTGGCATCACTTGTCTGTTTCTTCCTCAGTAAAATGGCAGAATCCCTACCCATGTCAAAGTTTTGTTATGAAGACTGCTGCGTTTACCAAATACCTAGCACGAGGCTTACCTCATGTAGGAACGCAGTCAACGTTTTCCCATTTCCCCAGCATTTTCAGGGTTCAGGTTGTGTCCACCGACACTGACACTTCTCTCTTGTTTCCTCTCGTGCGTGGTGCAAGGCTTCAATATGCTGATGACTTTCAGAATTTGCCCCACGGTTTGGAAATGTGTTTACCACGACGATATTTATTTCAAAAAAATGTTGTTCTTAAAAACAAATTTCCAGGCCGGGCGCAGTGGCTCATGCCTATAATCCCAGCAGTTTGGGAGGCCGAGGCGGGTGGATCACTTGAGGTCAGGAGTTCAAGACCAGCCTGGCCAACATGGTGAAACCCCATCTCTACTAAAAATACAAAATTAGCCGGGTGTGGTGGCGGGCGCCTAATCCCAGCTACTCGGGAGGCTGAGACAGGAGAATCACTTGAACCCGGGAGGCAGAGGCTGCAGTGAGCCGAGATTGCGCCACTGCACTCCAGCCTGGGCAAGAAGAGCGAAACTGTCAAAAAAAAAAAAAAAATTAGCCCGGTGTGGTGGCAGGCACCTGTAATCCCAACTACCTGGAAGGCTGAGGCAGGAGAATCGCTTGAACCTGGGAGGCAGAGGTTGCTGTGAGCCAAGATAGCTCCATTGCACTCCAGCCTGGGCGGCAGAGTAGGACTCTGTCTCAAACACACACACACACACACACACACACAAACACACACACACACACACACACACACACACACCCCAAATTTCCCTTTATTTGTTTGTAGGAAGGCTGTAGGGCTTGAATGTGTGCCCTGCAGGGAAGCACACTCTGAGTTTGCACAGCCCTTCCCGCATCTTAGGGCCTGTCAGGCGCAAGGCTGGGTTGGGGTGGGGGTCTCTCTCTGCGGCGGAACTCCCTGCGCAGGCGCCCGGACGGAACGGCCGGAACGAGGGCCTAGCACCGGTAGAGGGCGCTGCGGGCCGGCCTTCCTTCGGCTAGGCAAGAGAACCACCTGCAGGGTGTTAGGGGAATTGCAGAGGCAGCCGCCGGCCTCTGACTTGGGCACAATCTTTTTTTTTTTTTTTTTTTTTTTTTTTTTTTTGAGACGGAGTCTCGCCCTTTCGCTCAGGGTGGAGTGCAATGGCACGATCTCGGCTCACTGCAACCTCCGCCTTCCGGGTTCAAACGATTCTCCTGCCTCAGCCTCCCGAGTAGCTAGGATTACAGGCGCCTGCCACCATGCCCAGCTAATTTTTGTAGTTTTAGTAGAGACGGGATTTCACCATGTTGGCCAGGCTGGTCTCTATCTCCTGACCTCGTGATCCGCCCACCTCGGCCTTCCAAAGTGCTGGGATTACAGGCGTGAGCCATTGCGCCCGGCATTTTTTTTTTTTTTTTTTTTTGACGGAGTTTCACTCTCGTTGCCCAGGCTGGAGTGCAACGGCGTGATCTCGGCTCACGGCAACCTCCGCCTCCCGGGTGCAAGCGATTCTCATGCCTCAGCCTCCCAAGTAGCTGGGATTACAGGTATGCCCCACCACGCCTGGCTAATTTTGTATTTTTAGTAGAGATGGGATTTCTCCATGTTGGTCACGCTGGTCTCGAATTCCCGACTTCAGGTGATCCGCCCGCCTTGGCCTCCCAAAGTGCTGGGATTACAGGCGTGAGCCACTGCGCCCGGCTGATTTGACACAATCTGAACACAAATGAGAAAGCTATTCTCAGCTGTCTAATTCTCAGAAAATCTTCCAGAACTAGAGAAAAGCAACATTTTTTTATTCACAAAGGCTTGCTGGATTGGGAGTCAAAGAGCTGAGGCTTGAGTTCCGGGACCCAAGTCAGTAATTGCTCAGCAAACTGCTCCTCTGAAGGCTTTGGTTTTATCACCTAAGAAATGGGGACCTTGTTTTAAACCCCTACAGAGGGAGCAAGTTGAGGAACCCCATGGTGGACATGACCTCGTTGGTGCCAAGGCCAGTGTCACAGCCAGGACCCAAGTAGGACTTACCTTTCCTGTGCCATCTCATGACCCTGTCCCCAGCTGCCCAACCATGCTGTCCAGGCAGCAGGACTGGCTTCTTCCTGGCTGTTTGTACACCCTCCACACATGGCAGCTTCCTCTGCTTCTGTGCCCGTGCATGGGCCTGGCACCAGTGTTCTGTCAGTGTTCCTGTCCTAAGGCTGGCCAAAGTGGTCCCTGCAGAGAACCAGAAGTCTAGAGATTCAAGGTCTGTTCCCAGGAGGCTTGGTAATTTACTAGTTGTGTGGTCTGGAGCAATAAGCTTTTTCTTTCTGGGCCTCAATTTACCCATATGTAAGATGACCAGCTTGGCCAGTAACAGTGGCTCACACCTGTAATCCCAGCACTTTGCGGGGTTGAGGTGGGAGGACCGCTTGAGCTCAGGAGTTTGAGACCAGCCTGGGCAACAGAGCAAGACTCTGTCTCTACAAAAAATAAAAAATTAGCCAGGCATGATGGCGTATGCCTGTAGACCCAGCTACTCAGGTGGCTGAGGTGGGAGGATTGCTTGAGCCCAGGAAGTTGAGGCTGCAGTGAGCCATGATCGCCAATGCACTCCAGTCTGGGCAACAAGAGACCCTTTATCAACTAAAAAAAAGAAGACCAGCTTGAAGGGGCTTCTCTTCCCTGGCTCCACCTGCTCTTTCCTTCTTTCTCCAAGGTTCTGTCTTCAACATCCAGGAGGATCCAGCCTTCATGGCTCTGCAGATACCTTCCCAGTGTTAGCATTATTATTACCTTGAGGATGGATATTTTCTCCCTCTCCCCTGAGTATCTCAAGATTCCTAGCAAGTGGTGGTCGTCTGGGAGTCAGAGACCCGTGTTCCTGTCCCAGCCTGCCATTTACAAACCATGTAGCCTTGGGCAGCCGGTGAAGGATTCAACCTGTTTTGTCAATCAGGGATACTGTCTCTCAAGGAAGTTGGAAGGAAAAGGGATCAAACGAGAAAGTGCTTTGTGGCTGGGCATGGTGGCTCACCTGCAAGCCCAACATTTTGGGAAGCTGAGGCTGGAGGATCACTTGAGCCCAGGAGCTCCAGATCAGCCTGGGCAACATAGTAAGACTCCATCTCTACGTTAAAAAAAAAAAAGGGCTGCAGTGAGTCATGACCACTGCTGCACTCCAGCCTGGGAGACAGAGTGAGTCCCTGTCTAAAAAAAAAATGAAAGTATTTTGTTAAAATGTACACCAGCTCAGACAACAGACTTGCATTTTCCTTCCTCTCTATTAGTGAAAAACAGAATTGGCCATCTAGCTTTTCTCCTGCAATAACACTGCTGTTGGGAATATCTAGGTTATCTAGAAATAGTGACCTATTTCCATTGCTAATAAGGTGAGGACGGTAGGTCTCAGGGTTTAATTTCCCACCCAATGGTGTAAGGGATGAATCACTAAGCACTGTCCTGTTATGTTTCAGGATCCCCTGTGGCCTTCTATGCCAGCTTTTCAGAAGGGACGGCTGCCCTGCAGACAGTGAAGTTCAACACCACATACATCAACATTGGCAGCAGCTACTTCCCTGAACATGGCTACTTCCGAGCCCCTGAGCGTGGTGTCTACCTGTTTGCAGTGAGCGTTGAATTTGGCCCAGGGCCAGGCACCGGGCAGCTGGTGTTTGGAGGTCACCATCGGACTCCAGTCTGTACCACTGGGCAGGGGAGTGGAAGCACAGCAACGGTCTTTGCCATGGCTGAGCTGCAGAAGGGTGAGCGAGTATGGTTTGAGTTAACCCAGGGATCAATAACAAAGAGAAGCCTGTCGGGCACTGCATTTGGGGGCTTCCTGATGTTTAAGACCTGAACCCCAGCCCCAATCTGATCAGACATCATGGACTCGCCCAGCTCTCCTCGGCCTGGGGCTCTGGCCAAGGATGGGCTGGAGGTCATTCAGTTGGTCTGTCTCTTCCCTGGAAACCTTCTGCAAAGATGGTGTGGTGTACGTGGCTTCCCTGTAACCACATGGGGCTTGGCCATTTCTCCATGATGAGAAGGACTGGAATGCTTCTCCGGGCAGGACATGGTCCTAGGAAGCCTGAACCTTGGCTTGGCATGCCTTCTCAGACAGCACGGCCTGGGCTCCAACTCTTCACCACACCCTGTATTCTACAACTTCTTTGGTGTTTTGCTCCTCCTGTGGTTGGAAACTTCTGTACAACACTTTAAACTTTTCTCTTGCTTCCTCTTCTCTTCTCCCTTATCGTATGATAGAAAGACATTCTTCCCCAGGAGGAATGTTTAAAATGGAGGCAACATTTTGGCCAACATTGGAAAGCACTAGAGGGCAATGGGATTAAACCAACCTGCTTGGTCTCTATTAGTCAGTAATGAAGACGACAGCCTGGCCAACCAAGGGAAAGGAAATTAGTATCTTTAGTTTCAGTCATTCCTTGTAGGATATGGTTTAGCTGTGCCCCCACCTAAAATATCATCTTGAATTGTAATCCCTATAATCCCCACATCAAGGGAGAGATCAGGTGGAGGTAATTGGATCTTGGGGGCGGTTCCCCCATGCTGTTCTTGTGATAGTTCTCACGAGATCTGATGATTTTATAAGTTTGATAGTTCCTCCTGTGTTCATTCTCCTTCCTGCCACCTTGTGAAGATGCCTTGGTTCCTCTTCACTGTCTGCCATGATTGTAAGTTTCCTGAGGCCTCCCCAGCCATGTGGAACAGTGAGTCAATTAAACCTCTTTCCTTTATAAATTATCCAGTCTTGGGCAATTCTTGATAGCAGTGTGAAAATGGACTAATACACTTGTGTTTATCTGTAATTTAAATTTCATGTCTTTTTCTCCTTGCCTTACATAGGGTAAAGACCAAGAAATGCCAAACGTGAACTAAAATATGTAGGGCCTTCAACTTTTTTACTTCCTCCAGTATCTTAGGACCATCGTAATTCTTGTTAGCATCTCTAACCAGGAGGCAGCTGAGGGAGGAGGGAAAGAAGACTGTAAAAATCCCCCTCACTAATGATCAACTTTGGAATAAAGTGATGCCCTTCAAATCTCTGCCTCATTTACTTCTGGAGGGCAAAAATAATTGGTAGAGTAGGTAAAAAAAACATGGGACAACGTGAAACTATGTGGGTAAATGTGACTGATTATTCCAGGCCCTGTTATGTAGAATGATTTCCGTTTATTCTATATAAAACACTTGGAAGTTTCCACACTAGGCAAAGATACTAATACTGGACTAGACAGTACAGCTCATAGCTGCAATTATTCCTGTAATATACCAGCATATGGTTTTCAAAAAAGTTCAGATCCTATAGCAAACTGGCCTGAGAAAACAGTCATCTAGCTATCAGAAACAAGGTTTTTTTTGGTATTAAGTACTCAAAATTTGTTGAATATAGTCTTCTCTATAAGAAAATCAGATTGCTGAGGCAGGAGAATCGGTTGAACCCGGGAGGCGGAGGTTGCAGTGAGCTGAGATGGTGACACTGCACCCCAGCCTGGGAGACAGAGCGAGACTCTGTCTCAAAAAAAAAAAAAAAAAAAAATCAGACTGGACTTCGTAGTGAGTTGCTTGTTGGCGTTAACAAGGTTATCAGCACTTCTCATTGTTTGCTAGGAGTTATTACTTCACTTGTTCCTCAGAATTTATTTAGCACTAAGTTTTGTGCACTCAATGTGCTAAAACATCGGTGTTAAAAGGAACAGTATGCCAGGCCACACTGCTCATGTTTGACCTGGGGTAAATCACAACCTCTCTTGAACTTTGTCTTTAGTGTGAGGTGGTTGATCTTACAGCTCTAATTAGGTATTCTGGCATTCTTTTTTGAGACGGAGTCTTGCTCTGTCACCCACGCTGGAGTGCAGTGGCGCAATCTCAGCTCACTGCAACCTCTGCCTCCCAGGCTCAAGCAATTCTCCTGCCTCAGCCTCTCGAGTAACTGGGATTAGAGGCACCCACCACTATGCCCGCCTAATTTTTGTATTTTTAGTAGAGACAGGGTTTCACCATGTTGGCCAGGCTGGTCTTGAATTCCTGACCTCAAATGATCCTCCCACCTCAGCCTCCCAAAGTGCTGGGATTACAGGTGTGGGCCACCACGCCTGGCCTCTGGCATTTTATTATCTTAACCACAGGTTTAAGTATCACCCACCCCCGGTGCAGCTCTCAGTTACCAAGACCAATTCTGCCCCAAGGCATGAAGCAGACGGCCACGCCAGAACAAAGATTAGAAGCCCAGTAGCAGGTGAGCCTTGCTGCTGCAGACTGTGCTGTGTCTTCTTTCTGCTCAATCATGCAGTGACTGGTCAGGCTCTGCTGTTAACAGTTGAGACATTAGGTAATGCAGTCTTATCCTTTGGAAGTTACTGCCCATAGTAAATGAAGTGAATTGATCCCTTCTGGAAGGGGTACATGTCATCCAACCCTCATACAGTTGGTCCTCTTTGAGAGGAAGATTATACATGAAAGTGCTAACGGGCAAGCTCTGCCAACAGCATGGATGTGTCACTCCAGAAGTTTCTGGGATGAGAACTAGAGAAATGGTTCTTCTGGACAGGGTGTTTTCCATGCAACAAAACATATATGACTGCATTTCACAAAACCTTAACATCAAGTTTAAGGGCAAATTTTCTGTTTAAACGGTCCTAAAATTAGGACCCCCCCCCCAGATTAGCAAGACTTCTGAAGTTCATCTGATAGACTTCCTGTCTCCACCTGGGTGGAGGCTCCTCCTGTCCTGCAAGCAGACCCCCCGTTACCCAGACCAGCGGTCAGCACCCTCACTGTGGCACCCAAAACACCACAATGGACGGAGCACACGGTGGTACCTGCAAACCTGATGTGGAAAAAATATTTTAAAATCCCCAAATTGGTGGCTCATGCCTGTAATCTCAGCACTTTGGGAGGCCGAGGCGGGTGGATCACCTGAGGTCACGAGTTCAAGACCAGCCTGGCCAATGTGATGAAACCCCATCTCTACTAAAAATATAAAAATTAGCCAGGCGTGGTGGCGGGTGCTTGTAATCCCCACTACTCGGGAGGCTGAGGCAGGAGAATCACTTGAACCTGGGATGCAGAAGTTGCAATGAGCTGAGATCGAGCCGTTGCACTCCAGCCTGCGCAACAAGAGTGAATGAAACTCCATCTCAAAAAAAAAAAAAAAAATCTCCAATTGGAAAACAAGAGACGGTACCATAAGTACATCAGGACATTTTAGTAATTCCTGAAAAATAGAAGGGATCAGGTCTGAAATGAAACAGCAACAGGAAATCATGACCCCAAACATGTGAGACTGCTGGGGAGATGGGAGTGATTTGGGCGGAGCCCCAAACTCAAACCCAGCCCTTGAGACATGTTGGGGAGGCAAGGGTTGAAAAACTAACTGTTGGGTACTATGTTCAGTATGTGGGTGATGGCATCAATCATACCACAAACCTTAGCATCACACAACATACCTAGGTAACAGATCTGTACATGTAGCCCCTGAATCTAAAATAAAAGTTGAAAAAAAACAATAACAAAAACCAACCCTAAAACAGTTCAACCATCACCACAAGGAAAAAAATAAACACACTTGGGGTCACTGTGTGCCAGAACTCCAGCCCTGCCGTCAGCCCTGAACCCCAGGTACACAGCAGCTGCTGGGCCTCTGGAAGCAGGGAGCCCCCATACTCTGACAAACATGCCCTTAACAAACCCACAGGGGCCAATCCCAAGTTGTCTGCAGAAACCACAACATAATGTCAAAGTCACTCCTACTGTTAGATTTTATTTCAGAAGCAGTGTGAAGAGGCTACATAGCTCGTGACATGTTGCTTAGAACTCTCCTTTTCTCAGCCTCTGCACCCTGTTATGTCTTTAGCTCAAAAACAGAAAAGCTCTCCCTGCTGTAGCCTGAGCACCACCCTCCTTCCATCCCCTCCATCAAGAAAGCTCCCCAAACCTGGCTTGACAATTACTCAGCTCTCTTGGAGCGGGTAGTGGACGTGGATGAATGCAGTAGGGAAAGCCAGAATCCTTTTGAGAAGGAAAGGGGAAATGAGGCCAGCATGGTGGCTCATGCCTGTAATCATAGCCCTTTGGGAGGCTGAGGCGGGAGGATCGCTTGAGGCCCAAAGTTTGAGGTTGAAGTGAGCTATGACTGTGCCACTGTACTCCAGCCTGGGTGACAGAGTGAGACCCTATCTCAAACAAACAAAAAACCCAACCACACCAAAATAACAATTAGCAAAACTTCAGTAAGGTCTATAGATTATGGTATTGTTGGTCATTGCTATTGTATCAATGTGAACTTTCCTGGTTCTGATAATTGTACATAATTGGTTAAGTAATAGAACATCCCTGAAGTATTTAGGGATAAAGGGGTATTAGCTCTGTAATTTGCTTCTAATAGGTCAGAAAAAAATGTGTGCATACACGATACATGGACATTACAAACATTACAAGATGAGTCTCTGTGATTCCTGTACACACACACACAGAATGACAAAGCAATTGTGCAATGTTAGCAGTTTATGAATCTGGGTGAAGGGTAAATGGCAGTCCTTATACTATTGATGAAACTTTAATGGAAGCCTGGAATCATTTCAAAATAAAACATTTGGCTGTTGAAATAAACTCAGATGGGCTGACAAAAGTAGAAGGTAGGATGAAACATATGAGAAGCATAGTAACAATTATGGAAGAAACATCTAGGGGACCTGAGATTTGTTCTAGAAAGTTCTAGAAAGAGAAAAGGAAAAGAAAGAAAAAAGGGAAGAAACAAAAGAAATAATGGGAGAAAATTTCCCAGGTCTAAGAAAAGATCCCATTAGTACTAAGAAACAGAATGAATATATTTAGATATGGCCAGTTTCAACTTCCAACATCAATAATAAAAAGAAAATTCTATTTCTTGAAAATAAGTTAACCTGTATAACATGTCACTTATTAGATCCACATCAGACTTCTCACTGGTGACAAGGGATGCTAGAAGATCATGGAGTATCATCTTCAGAGTTAGATTCTATCTCCAGCTGAACTCCTAGCCAAGTATGAGGACAGGATCAAGTAATAAAAATTGCTTTTGAAATGTCTTGATTAAAATCCCTCCCACAGCAGTGTAGGTCTTTCAGTGGAGACTTCCAATTTTTTATGTTTTTCAACACTGACCTGCATTTCAGTCATACAGTAGAGCAACAGATGTCATCATCTGGATTCTAAACTGGCTTTTAAAAATGGCTCTTCCATTAAAGAAAAACAAGGGGGCCCAATATTTTCTTCACATTGCTTGAATATATATATATATATGTGTGTGTGTGTGTGTGTATATATATATATATATTTTTTTTTCTTTTTTTTTTTTTGAGAGACGGAGTCTTGCTCTGTTGCCCAGCCTGGAATGCAGTGGTGCGATCTCAGCTCACTGCAACCTCCGCCTCCTGGGTTCAAGTGATTCTCCTGCCTCAGCTTCCCAAGGAGCTGGGACTACAGGCGAGTACCACCACACCCAGCTAATTTTTGTACCTTAGAGACAGGGTTTCACTATATGTTGGCCAGGCTGCTCCTGACCTCAGGTGGTCTGCCCGCCTCAGCCTCCCAGAGTGCTGGGATTAGAGGCATTAGCCACTGCACCCAGCCAAAAATATTTTCAATATAAACATTCCATATTGATTTTCACTTTGAGCTTCCTGCATAATGTTTAGAATGTGAGCCAGGCATGGTGGCATGGTCCCAGCTACTCAGGAGGCTGAGGTGGGAGGATGGCTTGAGATCAGGAGTTTGAGGCTACAGTGCGTTATGATTATGCCTGTGAACAGCCACTGCACACTAGCCTGGGTGACAGTGCAAGACTGTCTCTAAAAAAGACAAAATTAGGATATAAGCACTGAGGTGGATGTAGCGACATTGAGAGATATGGAATTGACTTAGATTTCATTTGAACAAAGACCAAGAAGCTGCTAAGATTCAGAGGAGCAATAGGTTGATGGAATATGTGAATTAACAATTCCTATGTCAAAAGGAGATTATGGGCTGGGCGCAGTGGCTCACGCCTATAATCCCAGCACTCTGGAAGGCCAAGGTGGGCAGATCACCTGAGGTTGGGAGTTCGAGACCAGCCTGGCCCACATGGTAAACCCCGTCTCTACTAAAAATACAAAATTAGCTGAGTGTGGTGGTGCACGCCTGTAATCCCAACTTCTCAGGTGGCTGAGGCAGGAGAATTGCTTTAACCCGGGAGGTGGAGGTTGCAGTGAGCTGGGATCACCCCATTGCGCTCCAGCCTGGGTGACAGAGCGAGACTCCACCTAAAAAAAAAAAGAAAAAAAGATTATGAATGAACCTTTCAGCCCTAGTCCTTGCTCCCTTCCAAAAATATTTTTTGTATGTGCCACTGCACTTGAAATAAGCCGCCATCTGGATCCCAGCATCGAGGTGACTCTCCCACTTCTGCTTATACCAGCACTCACACATTTAAGTCTCCATGCCTGCAGCAGTGCCGCTGATAGTAGGTGGCCTCTGCTCACTGCTGGCCACTTTCAGCGGTTTATGTCCACCCAGTCAAGACTGTATGCTCCAAGCGCTGAGCCAAGGCTGTGTAGGAGCGTGCACCTAACTTGATATAAGGATGACATGTCAGAAATGGTCAATATGCTACTACTATCAGCAAATGTTTCTCCAAGTGAAAACTTAGTAACTGACTTACTGTCTGCTTGAAACTATCTACAAGGATTAAACCTATTTTGGAAGAACAAGGATTAGACAATTCTGTTTCTTAATGTCTGCTCTGTTAATAATATTAAAGAAACCTTGGAATGGAGCAGTGAGACTAACAGATTGCTGGAAAGGAGAAATGAATACATTTATTCAGTGTTTCCACAGACAGAAGGAAAGCTGGCAAGCATTTGCAGTTCCCAGAAATCACTGAGTCTTCTTTACCAGGCTGCATCAGAGCGCCTGCGATTATTCTGAGAAACTTACAATGACACTGAACAGAGACTCCCGTGAGGAATCTGTAAGAGGCTATCTTCAGACACGCATTTCTTTTGAGGAACAATAATCAGTGCCACATCGCGTCTGTGATTTAACATGTTCAGTTCCCTAGGAAAAGGCAGCAGAAGGCACACTGCTGGGATGAATTCACATACACCTGAAAACAGCCCTGACTGGCGGTGGGACTCAGTGCAGGTGGGAAAATGACAAGAAAGTATTGCACAGGAGGAGGAAAGCTATCCAAGGCTTCACTTCCCATTGCAGCAGGAGCATCTTAAGGCCAGGTAAATGCATCCCATCGCTCTAAGCTCATGAACTGCTAGCAGGAATGAAAATGAAAAGCTTTGTGAGTAGCAATATGGCAATGTTTTCCAAGAACCTTAGTTTTTCCATCTTAAAGGATCTTTTAAAAGTTCATATCCACTAGTCTCATTTTCAGAAATGTAATATAAGAAAATAAAGATTTATGTATAAGGATGCTTAATATCTATTTTTCAAAACAATGAAAATAATCCAAATATTCAATAGGGGATTGAGCACAGAAATTACTCCATCTTCTTAGTCAAATATTGTGCAGTCATTAAAAAAAAAGTTCTCAATGGCTATTTAATGGCATACTAGGATCCTAATATTACAAAAAATGCAACATAAAAAAGAATAAGGCCGGGTGCAGTGGCTCACTCCTGTAATCCCAGCACTTTGGGAGGCTGAGGTAGGCAGATCACTTGAGGTCAGGAGTTCGAGACCAGCCTGGGCCAACATGGTGAAACCGCATCTCTACTAAAATACAAAAATTAGCCGGGCGTGGTGGTGCACACCTGTAATCCCGGCTACTTGGGAGGCTGAGGCAGGAGAATCACTTGAACCCAGGGGGCAGAGGTTGCACTGAGCCGAGATCGCGCTACTGCACTCCACCCTGAGTGACAGAGCAAGACTCTCTCAAAAAAAAAGATTGAAAAGAAACACTCAAATGTATATAGTGATAATGTCTGGCAATAGAATTTTGAGTGATTTTTATTTGCTTTATTATTTGCTGTTGTTTCCCAAATTTTCTGCCATGAGTACATTTCCATAATCAGAAAACAATGTTTTGGCCAGGCATGGTGGCTCATGCCTGTAAGCTCAGCACTTTGGGAGGCCAAGGCAAGTGGGCCACCTGAGGTCAGGAGTTCGAGACCAGCCTGGCCAACATGGTGAAACCCTGTCTCTATTAAAAATACAAAAAATTAGCCAGGCATGGTGGCAAACACCTGTAGTTCCAGCTATTCGGGAGGCTGAGGCAGGAGAATTGCTTGAACCCAGGAGGCAAAGGTTGCAGTGAGCTGAGATCGTGCCATTGCACTCCAGCCTGGGCAACAAGAGCAAAACTCCGTCTCAAAAAAAAAAAAAAAAAAAGGAAAAAGAAAACAATGTTTTGTCTTGTTTTTTAAAGGAAAAACCCCTGCACCGTGATAGGTTTAGAAGTTCTCTATCTCCACAGGGCAAGCGTGTACCTACCTGTGCTCCATACTGGGTTTCTGGTAGTTGAAGTGTACATCTCAGGAACATATGTATATACACTAACTTAATCATTACAAAAATCTCAACAGATGACTTCTGATGCACAATACCGTCTGAGTGTAGCATCACAAAACACATCACTAAAGTATACTAAAATAAGGTTATTTACTTCAAAATGATACATTGGACATAATCTGTATATAGAACAAAGCAAGTAATGGTAAACTCTTAAGGCACCTTTTAAACCAGATGCTGTACAAAATACATTTAGTGTGTTACACGTCAAAGACGAATCTATATTTTTGGTGTTTTACAACTGCCTGATAAAACTGCTTGCTTTTACCCTTCTTTCAATGCCTATGTACAGTTTCCCCTAATGAAGCAATAATGATATTTCCATTTTATACAATATATACTACATTTTAGTTTTTAAATGGGCCAGGACAAAGGTCACTAAAAGGGCTTAAATAATTCCATAGAAAACAGAATACAGAGCATAAGCTAAAATTACAATAGTTAATCCTTTACAAGAGCCATATTCACATACTTTCCTTATGGGACCATCATTACACGTGGCTTCACAGGATGCTGTGCTGGATTTTGGTTCTTAGGAACACACCTCCTCCCTGCAGTTTCCACTGTGACTCTCACAGCAGCACACTAAGGCAAGAGACGAGCTGTGGCACTGCTATTTTAACACCTGACTCAAAGTCAGTAATAAATATGACCACTTTTAAACACTACAAGGGCTATCATAATCTTTTGTTAAAATAAAAATCATTTCTGCTGTTGAAATGATTTTAGATATTTAGAAACATTTCAAAACAACATCTATGAAGTATGTTTATGAAAGCTGCCCTGGAATAAATTATTCAATATCAAATTTGATCCTGGGCCAACCCAAAGATGCATGATTCTTTAAAAACTATAGTGCATTTTTGTTCTAAACAGAACAAAGCATCTGAAGAAAAGTACTGATTGTTAGAGTAAATCAAAATTTGGCACGTTCTAGGAAAACATAATTTTAAAAAACTATAGGTCACTTTCTAAGTTTAGAAACACTTCTGGACACTGGAAAGGCAATGTAAAAATACTGATTAAAATAACTTTTGTGAAAATATTTCCAAAGAAATCAGATGCAAGTTTTATACATCAGAAACTTGTTCAGTAAAAAGCACAGTAAAAGCTTAGAATAAACAAACTGAAGGAAACCCTAATGTGCCTTTAATCCTAGAGCTATTTGCCAGCATAAAGAGAATTCACAAGAACTCTCTTTGAGGGTTAACTTTTCCTGTTTATAGTCAGGTAGTTTGGGTTGTTTGCTTTTATATTTTAATTATTTAAAGAGCTATCTGAATGAAGCTACACACTTCAAAAACACTAAATTGCAAGTGGGACCAAATAATGGCTTCCAAGGTTTTACGAATTTACTAACTATGGTACTACATAATACTTCTTCTTGCTGGCCTATCATATTCTTTAAATATTTCACTTAGTCGATGAGCTTCAGATTTAAGAATAAGAGTGGAAAGGAGAGACAAGAACTAAGTTTAATGCAACATTTTTGTTTTTTGTTATTTATTTGTTTGTTTATTTGAGATGGAGTTTCGCTCTTTTGCCCAGGCTGGAGTGCAGTGACACGATCTCAGCTCACTGCAACCTCCACCTTCTGATTTTAAGCAATTCTCCTGCTTCAGCCTCCCGAGTAGCTGGGATTACAGGCACCCGCCACCACGCCTGGCTGAGTTTTTTATTTTTAGTAGAGATGGGGTTTCACCATGTTGGCCAGGCTGGTCTTGAACTCCTGACCTTGTGATCCACCCGCCTCAGCCTCCCAAAGTGTTGGGATTACAGGCGTGAGCCACCGCGCCCGGCCACATTTTTAGATTAAGATTCCAAAGACGGCAGCATTTGCTTTTTAAAGAACATGTTATACTAGAAAATGTTTTTACTGAGCAAGTTTCTAAGATTAACTCTTGATATCACTTTTACTAGACCAAGTTAATTTTAAAAAACCATAATAGTGGTCTCATATACTGGCTGTAATTTTTTGCTTCCACACACCATTTGAACATTTCCAATAAACTTTGCCTGTCTTTATATTTTTATTAAGATGACAAATGAACTTTGGGAGGCCGAGGCAGGTGGATCATGAGGTCAGGAGATTGAGACCATCCTGGCTAACAAGGTGAAACCCCGTCTCTACTAAAAATACAAAAAATTAGCCGGGCGCGGTGGCGGGCGCCTGTAGTCCCAGCTACTCGGGAGGCTGAGGCAGGAGAATGGCGTGAACCCGGGAAGCGGAGCTTGCAGTGAGCCGAGATTGCGCCACTGCAGTCCGCAGTCCAGCCTGGGCGACAGAGCGAGACTCCGTCTCAAAAAAAAAAAAAAAAAGATGACAAATGATTTTAAAGATTATGGTATCAAGTCAAAAGTAAACCAAGATTTAAGTAAATTGGGTGTTCTAAGTGCAATCATATCATACGGCAACGCAGATTAAAATATTTGTATTTCTCAGTATACATATGGTGAAAAATTCTGAAAAAACAAGTTATTGGGTATTATCCATATGCAAATTTACTTATCTTGATGAACACTTCAGACTTTAATTATGGCAGATGAAACTTATTAATCAAAATGGTTAAGGCAATTTTCAAATTTGTGAAATTTGATGTGCAGACAAATTTGTAAGTTTTAACCTTAAATGATAGTCAAATTTTGGTAATGGGTGGACATATGCTGATTTCCTCCCATTTAATTTAAACCTTTTTGATGATGATGTGATATAATCACATTTATTTTATGTTATAATCAAATAAAACTATCTCACTTGATGTACTCATGAATTGTTTGCTCAGAATAAATATTTAAAAAGCATTAAAGAAGTATAAGTTTATGTAAATCAGATTTCTTGAGATAACAAGGCATCTATAAAATATGAACCATTTTATTGAAGAACAGTTATACAGTGTAGCTACAGATACTGACTAGATACTAAATATTTCTGCCTGATTTTTCATTGTCTTCACAAGTTAGGGAATAGAAATCAAAAAACCAAAAATCTCAAATGATTTAGCTGTCCAGAACATATTTGACAGTTGATAAATTTATAACAGCTCTGACATATAAATTTCTAATTAGAGAATCCTTTCATTTGAAAAAATTGAGATGATATTACCCTAATGAAGTTTTTACCTGAAGTTAACAAAGTCCTGGATTTGATATATTACTTTGAATGCATTAATTCTGAAAATTTATATTTAGTTCTACTTTATAACATTTCTTCTCTTAAGGATGGGATATGAGGTACACATGAGCTGGTTTCTACAGTATGAATGTATGTACATATATAAAGTATGGTTGTAAAGGAGTGGGTGATTTGCAAATAAAGCACATTATACACAAAATATAAATAACTTCCCTTTTAAAAGTTACTGAGAATAAAGAATATAGAACATGGTTATAGGCACTTACATTGCTATCAAATGCAGGAATTCACTTCAATAAGAAGTGCTTTCTTTGTAAGCATGGTTCATGGCAATAGAAGCTCCAACTTTGGAGAGGATGCTTTCCGTGACAAAAATAATAACCACAAAAAAAATGGTGGTTGAAGGAAAACAGTCCAAATTTACAGATGCTTTAAACTTCTTTTGGCCTTGGCATCAGCTTTCATGTTAAAAAATAAAGCTGGTGGGGAAGCTATCTCACTTGCAAAGTAAATGGCTTGTATGAGATTGGCGAATCTTGGTCAGATATTGCATTTTTAAAGCACAAAACCACCGGCCACCAATATCTTCCTGTGCATGCATATAAATTATTTTCTTCTAATTCAAATGGCAGCAGAGGAATCCCGGCGTGCATGTGCATGGAGACACACACACATCACTAAGGACACAGGACAAACTATCATAAAATAAGCAGTATCCCAAACACATCATCATCTATAGGCTGTTTTACAAAGGTAGAATACAAACGAACTGAAAGTCTCAGGTAAAAGGCAAAGTCTATTTCTCCATCTCTGCTGCGCTCATTTATCTTCTTAAGGCTTTCACAGAAAGCACCGTTTTATGAACAGGCAATTCAGTACCCAGAGCTTGACTGGAGACACTAATCAGGATTGAAGTCTTGATGCAGTTCATAAAAACCCACTTAAAAAAAGGCATCAAAAACCACATTTAAAATAAAGCTGTCCATATATAAAGAATGAAGTGTTTAGAAGTTCCCAGCTTGTATCCTAATAAGAGTACTGAAAGGTTTAATATTAGCAGCCTGTGAACACGTAGTGAAGAAAGAGTCTGAGAACCAAGTTAACATCCTTATTCCACTCTAATTCCACCCATGCCATGGGTAAAAACAGTTCTTGCAGTCTAGAGTTTCTCCTCCGATGGTTTAACCATCAGATTTTTACATCTTGGGATTCAACCATCTTGGCAAGCGTCTTCTTAATTCTCAATGCTGTGAGTCTGGAGGCTGGATTGTGGGCCCAGCATTCTGACATTAGCTTCAAAACTGCTCGTAGACACTGAAAAGTAAAGAGATGTTCAGTGAGCAGAGAATATATTTGGTGGCATTTACGAATCACTTCTTCAGGGGACTGAGTTCCACTCACTTCATCACTGTTCCACCGATTAGACACAATTGGCCGCAAACGTTTGACACACACAACCTCACGCATATCTTCGTATGACGGATCACTCGGTACCATGTTGTAATATGGCAATTGGTATTCTTCCACGATCCCTATAAGGGAATGAGAAAACATGGGCACAAAAATGGTTGCTGGACAAGATATACCAATCTAGTAAGCATCTTTTGCTAAACTATGGAACTAAAACGGATTCTTACACAAGAAAAAATATAGACACTATGATTCACTCTTAATAGTAGATGTATGTTTTTCTCTTATTTATGTCCAACTATTTCCTCTACCTCCACCAGGGATGTCATCACAACTGTGATAGAGTCCATCGACAAAGGGCATATCAATCTTCCTTAAAAAAAATAAGCAAGGCGAAATCAGCCATTTACCCTAAAGTATAATTATTTACTTATATGGTTGTTCCTACTAATGAATAGTTTTTATTATTTTGTTTCATTTTGCTCTGCAGTAGAAAGACTTATGAGGTGCAGATAAGGGTTCACACAGCAGGCCTGAGACCTTCCCTTAGGAAAGGCGGCTTGCAAGGTTTGGCCTTGGCCAGTGCCCGGGTACACAAATGGTAAACAGTTCCCTACATGGATATAAAACTTACCGGAAACGGTGAGGGTAACTCACCACTCCTGGGCTGCTTGTGCAAACAATGTGGTGTGTACTGCACGTCTGCTTTCCTGCTGGAATTCTGGTACATGCCAGGCAGAGGATGCCTATGTGACCAGCCTCCAGTAAAATCTCTGGGTGCCAAGTCTCTAAGGAGCTTTCCCGAATGAGAACACTTTGTATGTGTTGTCACAACTAGTAAGAGGAATGAAGCACACGCCCTGACTCCGCTGGGACAGGATTCTGGGAAGCCTCGCCTGGTTTTCTAAACTTGGCTGATTTTGATTTGTATCCTTTCACTGGGATAAATGTTAGCCATTGGGACAACCACATGCCGAGTCCTGTGGTCCTTCAAGTGAAATCGCACAACCTGGGGGTGGTCTTGGGGACTCTGACGTATGTGACATCTAAATTACGTAACTGCCAGCAATTGCACTCCTAGGTGTATACCCAAAAGAAAGGAAATCAGCTAACCGAAGAGATACCTGCACCCTCATGTTTGCTGCAGCACTGTTCACAATAGCCAAGATGTGGAAGCAACCTAAGTGACCATCAACAGATGAACACATCAAGAAAATGTGGCACCTACACACAATGGAGTATCATTCAGCCAGAAAAAAGAATGAGATTCTGCCTTCTGAAATAACATGGAGGAACTGGATGTCATAACGTTAAGTAAAATAAGCCAGGCACAGAAAGACAAACTTCACATGTTCTCACTTACTTGTGAGATCTAAAAATCAAAACAACTGAACTCATGGAGAACAGAAGGATGGTTACCAGAGGTTGGGAAGGGTAGCAGCAGATGGGGGGGGATGTTTAATAAGTAGAGACAAAATAGAAGAATGAATAAGTATTTGGTATTTTATAGCACAACGGGGAGGACTACAGTTAGTAATAATTTAATTGTACACTTAAAAATAACTCAAGGAGTATAACTGGTTGGTGAAACAAAGGATAAATGTCTGAAGGGACAGATATCCAATTCTCCAAGATGTGATTATTACACATGGCATGCCTGTATCAAAATAACTCCTTATCCAATAATATATACACCTACTATGTGCCCACAAAAATTAAAAACTAAAAAGTTATATAACTGGAGCTGTTATTTTTAAAATGATGAGTAAATCAACATAATCAGAAACTACTCAAACTCCCACCTCCTGTGATACAACGACGAGCCATCTCCCAAATGATTAGGCCGAAGCTGTAGATGTCAGCCATGATGTAGGGCTGGAAGTGGTTTTTGTTCAGGCTTTCGTCCAGCACTTCGGGAGCCATGTAGCGTTTGGTGCCCACCCTGGTATTCAAGGGCACATCAACTTCATTTGTGTCACTGAAACAAAAGAAAGCCAAGGTCCAAGTTGAGGGCCAAAAATAAAATAGTTTATCTTGTATTTTTGTCCTATTTTATAAAAGCTTCTTTTTCTCCTTGGGGCCAGATGCATTGTGGAATTTAGCATTTTTCAGATTTTTCTTTAAATACATGCTACATACTACATGACATCCTCAGCAGGGTTGGGGCAGCACTCTTAATCCAACTCAGTACTCAGTACTGTGTCTACAGCAAAACACTAAGTCCGATAGTCCTCCTCAACTGGATAAGGGCAATACACACCTCACATCCGTTCAGGTCAGGTTTTGTCACTAAATAAGTCTGGTGTCTAAGAAAGAGGACAACACTGAATATAAGATAAAGTTAAGCCAGGCACGGTTGCTCATGCCTGTAATCTCAGCACTTTGGGAGGCCAAGGCGGGCGCATCACCTGAGGTCAGGTGTTCAAGATCAGCCTGGCCAACATGGTAAAACACTGTCTCTATAAAATACAAAAGTTAACCAGGGTTGGTGGCACATGACTATAATTCCAGCTACTTGGGAGGCTGAAGCACGAAAATTACTTGAACCTGGGAGGCGGAGACTGCAGTGAGCCGAGACCATGCCACTGCACTCCAGCCTGGGCAACAGAGTGAGAATCTCTCTCAAAAAAAAAAAAAAAAAGAAAAGAAAAGGAAAAAAAAAAGATAAAGTAGTAGATAATTATGTCTGAGAAGTGGTGAATATGAAAATACAAGAGGAATCGCTTGCTTTTACCACTCTCATATGATACACTAAGGCTTTGTGACATAGGATTACATTTTCTTCTTTATGGGTCCCATCAACAGAGTTCTGTTGTTAGCAATGTTTACATGATCATACTGACAATTAGTAATAATTACTCTAAAGCAGTGATCAATATAATGCGTTGTATTTTCCTATAGCATCTGATAAATATCTGAGCCAACAAATACTACACTGACTCAGAACACTGTAACAGATTTAAATGTCTCTTACAGTTGTTTTAAAGACTGGTACTTTTATATTACAGCCTAAAATGAATTCTGAAATGTAAAGCAGCCACTCCATTCTAGAATTACAAGATTAAAATGGTTTCAAAGGTTTCCTAAAAATTTGTAATTTCTAACACTTGCATTTGTTTTAAAATACTGACACTATCAAGTGGTGACAGAAAAATGACATCCTTATCTCTACTGCTTACGGGTGTGTAAACTGAGGCACACTGCTGAAAGAAATAATATGCAACATACCATAGTTTAATATGTATAAACTCACTGCCTCAGCAGGCCCTTCTCTAGGAATCCATCATGAAGAAATGCTTGTACAAGTGCACAAGGATCAAATATATAATATATGGTTAAAATACAACAATGTTCATTAAAAAACCTTTTCATAATCAACTGAAGACACCTTTAATGTTCATCAGTTGGGTCTTAAGAATAAACTACAGTACCTCCACATATGGAAAACTCTGCATCTGTTAAAAAGAATGAAGTAGATTTACATCAGCTGAAATGGAAGGATGGCTAAGACTATATGGCACACACCTGTAATCCCAGCACTTTGGGAGGATCAGCTGAGCCTAGGAGTTTGAGACCAGCCTAGGCAACACAGTGAGACCCCATCTCCGCAAAAAATAAAAACATTAGCTAGGTGTGGCAGTGCATGCCTGTAGTCCCAGCTACTCAGGAGGCTGAGGTGGGAGGATTGCTTGAGCCCATGAGGTCGAGGTTGCAGTGAGCTAAGATCACACTACTATATTCCAGCCTGGGCAACTGAGTGAGACACTGTCTTTAAAAAAAACAAAAAACAAAAAACAAAAAACAAACAAAAAAAAACACCAAAAAAATATATATATATCAAGAATTATGTATAGGAGAAGTAGGACACAATTTTTGTAAAAAGAACAAAATCCCCCCCAACTATACATTTATGTAACTAAAAACAAGCATATGCACATTTTTAGAATTCCATTATCTTGAATACAAATAGGGAAATATCTTTTGGAAATTAAAATAATTTCAAAACAGTGGGGCAAAGAACCACTCACCTGTTGAATTTAACAGCAAGGCCCAGGTCAGCAATGCAGCAACTCCCATTTTTCTTGATGAGGATGTTTTTGCTCTTTAGGTCTCGATGAGCAATTGCGGGCTTTCCTTGGGTGCCATAAATTTCTGTGTGCAGGTGGCACAGACCACAGGCAGCTGAATAAGCCAATTTAAGCAGGGCTCTGGTGTCCAGTGTAGCACATTTCAGGAAGTCATAGAGAGATCCATTTTCATGGTAATCAGTAATCAAATAGAGCTGAGTCCAGGAACCTGTACCTTTAATGTCTGCCGCTATGAAACCTGTCCAGTTGATGAGTTTAAAAGGTTAGTTATCATCAGAGATAGGCTAGGGAGAAGTAATGCTCATTCTGGATACTGAGAAAAACTTAGGTATCATGTGCAGATAGTGAAACTTTAATTCGCCTGACACCAAGTCGTGAATGTGTTACTAAAAATTATATTTCTACATTTACACATATATCTGTACTTCTACAATAAATTTATAATAATCTTAATAATCATGAAAGTGAATAGGATTAAGAAAAAGATCATATATGCTGGGTGTGGTGGCTCACACCTGTATCACTTTGGGAGGCCAAGGCAGGAGGATCACTTGAGGTCAGGAGCTCGAGACCAGCCTGGCCAACAGGGCGAAACCCCGTCTCTACTAAAAATACAAAAATTAGTTGGGCATGGTGGCAAGTGCCTGTGGTCCCGGCTACTCTGGAGGCTGAGGCAAGAGAATCACTTGAACCTGGCGGCAGAGGTTGCAGTGAGCCAAGATGGCGCCACTGCACTCCAGCCTGAGCGACAGAATGAGACTCCGTCTCAAAAAAAAAAAAAAGAAAAGAAAAGGAAAGAAAAGAAAAAGATGACATATTATACAAATAACCTGGAGAATATTATCAACCTACATGATTCTCTAGTAGAAAAGGCTCTCAATTTCAAAGCAAAAAGTGGACACTTTTATAAAATTAAGAATGTTCAACTAAGAGTTAGCTCCTAATTAAGCCAACTCCCATTTGCCCATCAGTGACTCATCACAGCTGCCTTTTCAGTCTGGCTCGTTGACTGCCAGGCCCACAGTCCTGCTCTTTTCCTTTCTCTCCTACCCTCTTCCCTCCAGAAAAAGGTCAGTGAGTGCTATGTACTGAGCTGAACAGTGCTCCCCGACAAAATTCATGTCTAAAATCCATGTCATCTATAAACGTGACCTTATTTGGAAAGAGGGTCTTTGCAGATGTAATCAAGTTAAGATGACTCATACAGGATTAGCGTGGGCCCGAATTCAATGGCTGGTGATGTTGTAAGGTGGAAATGTGGACCCAGGCACCCAGGGAGAAGGCCACCTGATGACAGAAATGGAGACTAGAGTGTTGTCTATACTAAGCCAAGGAACACCAAAAATTCCTGGCCACCAACCAGTAGCCAGAGGAGGCAAGGAAGGCTCCTCCTCTAGAGTATTCAGAGACACAACAGCTCTGCCAACACCTTGGTTTTAAACTTCTAGCCTCGAAAACTGAGTGAATACGTTTTGGAGGTTGAAGCCACCCAGTTTGTGGTAATTGATACAGCAGCCCTAGGAAACTAATACAATTGCCTGCTTGGCAACATGCTATGGGCTCTCCAAATTAAAGGGAGGAAAACAAGAGGTGAAGGGAAAAGAAAACTCAGGATAGCCAGATCGGCTTATGTACCTGACTGACCAGCTCACACCTAAATTACTTTGCTATTGTGTAAATGTGGAGATGGGGGGAAACACACATTAAACACAGAACGTACAATGAAACTGCATGTTGGGCTGTTGAGCTTATGAAAGGGAAAAGGCACATATGTTAATGTTACCCTAAATCACTGCTTAAGTTATCTATAAAAGACTGGGTTTTCATTACTATGGGAGTAAGTCCAATAAACTAGTATTATTTTCCATTTGAAACTCACTGCTGTTTCTTCAGCTGGTTAGTAAAGAAAGATCTTGGTTGGCATTCCGGACTATGTTTTATTCAAACCGTGTATTCTACTAGGTTTCCTTTAGCCAAATGTATATAGTTGAACTCACACATTTTCAAAGCACATATGGAGGCTTCCACCTGTACCTCACTAGCCTTGTCAAAAATGAAATTGACTGAATCAGTGTGTACCCACCAAGTATGTTTTCATGGCGCATTAGCACAGTTTGGTAGATTTCTGTTTCTCGAAACCAGCTGGCTTCTTCAGTGGTAAAGAATACTTTCACCGCCACTTTTTCGCCACGCCATTTGCCCATCCATACTTCTCCATATCGGCCTTTACCAACTTGCCGGACCATCTGAATCTGTTTGGCAATAGTTCGCTGAACCTTTATAGAAAAAAGTAAAAGGTTTGAGCTCTTGATGAAAGAAACCCATTAAGACTGGCAAAGGGGTAGTCCATCTCATCAAAAAGCATGGTGTACCCAACCAACTCCAGTTAAAAACTTATAATGTACTTTTTTTTTTTTGAGATGGAGTCTCGCTCTGTCACCCAGGATGGAGTGCAGTGGCGCGATCTCGGCTCACTGCAACCTTCACCTTTTAGATTCAAGTGATTCTCCTGCCTCAGCCTCCCAAGTAGCTGGGATTACAGACACCCGCCACCATGCCCAGCTAATTTTTTTGTATTTTTAGTAGAGATGGGGTTTAGCCACGTTGACCAGGCTGGTCTTGAACTCCTGACCTCAGGTGATCCACCCCACCCCCGGCCTCCCATAATGCTGGGATTACAGGCGTGAGCCACCATGCCCGGCCATAATGTACTTTAAAGTATGAAACAATGTACAATGTATTCTGAAATCATAAACAGGTTATTCAAGTGGCTGGCTGTTTGCAAAAATGGTCATAATAATTACCCTCCCAGTGCACACAGTCGTGGGTAGTCTTGGTCCACAGACTCAGGGCTTAGGCCACATGACTTGCTTTGGATAAAAGAACAACAGCGAACGTGATGCAAGCAAAGACCTGACAAATGTTTGTGGACTGGGGCTTGCCCCCTTCCTGCTGCTTTGGGAACCCTGTGACCAAAAAATAATGGCAGCATGAACTGTCGGCCAAGGGTGTGAACTACACCACCTAGCTCTAGCTAAGCAAGTCCAACAAATGAACTGCCCCACAGACTCACAGAATGAGAAATAATGTTTGTTGCTTCACATCACTAAGTTTTGGGGTGGTTTATTATGCAGCAAAGTCCAAATAACAGTTAAAGATCTTAAAAATCCCATCTATAAGACCCTGCCTGATCTGGCCTGGTCCCATTATTTGCTTTGACCACCCACCCACAAACCTCGTTTGACTTATCTCAACTTTTAGAATTCACTCAAGCTTATTCCTGTCGCTGGGTTTTTTTGAATATCCAGTTCCCTTTACTTAGAGTGCTATTTTCTCACTTAAACACCTTCATAGCACACAAAACCTCTCAGTTGCTGCGCTTAACACAATCATAACTTTATTCTTATTTACATATATATTTGCTTGAATTCCATCCCCTGCTCACAGAATATAAGTATTTATTTGGGACAATATCAGAAGTACTTTAATATTTGTTAAATAAAAGATGTACATGGATTGTTATCTTTCATTTTCAGAAGCATTAGTGATCATTCTAAATTAAAAAGAACATTATGCTCCAAGTTGGAAATGCTTCTAAAATGGACTAGATTTAGTGCAAAGCTAAAGTGACTTTATGTATCATTTATTATAGAATCCTTTTGTAAATTTTGTTCTGTTTTTTTGAGACAGAGTCTCGCTCCGTTGCTCAGGCTGGAGTGCGGCGGCCAATCTCAGCTCACTGCAACTTCTGCCTCCCCAGTTAAAACAATTTCCTGCCTCAGCCTCCCGAGCAGCTGGGATTACAGGCATCTGCCACCACGTCCAGCTAATTTTTGTATTTTTAGTAGAGACAGGGTTTCACCATGTTGGCCAGACTGGTCTCGAACACCTGACCTCAAGTGATCTGCCTGCCTCAGCCTGTAAGTTTTTAAGTCAAGATTATTGAGGTATAATTTATATAAAATGTACCCTTTTTGAGAAAAGTTCAACAAGCCTTGGACAAATCTATATCATGTAATCACCAATACCACAATTAAGATACAGAATATTTTAATAACGTAAAAAAATTCTCACTTTTTGGCCAGGCGTGGTGGCTCACGCCTGTAATCCCAACACTTTGGGAGGCCGAGGCGGGTGGATCACCTGAGGTCAGGAGTTCAAGACCAGCCTGGCCAACATGGTGAAACCCTGTCTCTACTTAAAAAAAAATACAAAAATTAGCTGGGCATGGTGGTGCATGCCTTAATCCCAGCTACTTGGGAGGCTGAGGCAGGAGAATCACTTTTGTGTAGCCTTTTGTGTCTGGCTTCTTTCATGTAGCATAAAGTACTTTTGAAATTCACCCACTGTTGCTGCTACATGTGTTAGAAGTTGTTCCTTTTTACTGATGAGTAATATTCCACTGTATGAATGTACCAGCATTTGTTTATTCATTTAGCAATTCATGAGCTTTGGGGTTGTTTCCAGTTTATGTCTATTATAAATAAAACTGCTATAAACATTCACATTCAGGCCTCTGGTGTGGACAAGTTTTCATATCTCTTGGGTAAATAATTAGCAGAAGGATTGCTTCATTGTACGGAAAGTATGCCCTTAACTTTCCAGGCAATTGTCAAACTATTTTTCAAAATAGCCATACCATTTTGCATTCCAACCAGCAATGTATGAGATTTCTAGTTGATCTACATCTTTGGCACCACTTAATATTATCAGTCTTAGCTATACTAGTGGATGTGCAGTAGTATCTTACTGTGTTTAATTTGTATATCCCTGCTGATGCTGAGCATCTTTTCATGTGCTTGTTTGCCATTCTTATATCTTCTTTGGGGAAGTGTCTGTTCAAATCTTTTGTCCATTTTTTAAAAAAATTGGGTTATCTTATTATTGAGTTGCAAAAGGTCTTTATATATTTTGCACAAAAACCCTGTATCAGATCTGTTTTGCCAATCTGTGACTTGTCTTCTCATTTTCTTGTCTTCTAAATAGCAGAAGTTTTAAATTTTGATAAAGCCTGATTTATCATTAAAAAAATGATTTGTGTTTTTTATGTACTGAAGAAGTCTGCCCAAGGTCAGAATAATTTTTTCAGACATTTTCTTTTAGAGGTTTTATACTTCAACTTTTACATTTAGGTCTATGCTACATTTCAAGTTAATTTGGTATAGAGTGAGGAGGTAAGGACTGAGATTAACTTCTTGGTAAATGGATTCCTGATATTTCCTGCACCATCTGTTAAATGGACTGCCTTTTTCCAATTGAATTACTTGGGCATCTTTTTGTTTTTTTTTTTTTAATCAATTAACCATATTAAGTGCATGTTCCTTTCTAAACTCCATAATCTGTTCCATTCATCAATACATCTATCCTTATGCCAGTACCAAATTGAGATCATTATTGAGTTTTACGGTAAGTCCAGAAATCAGGTAGTGATTCCTCTTTGTTCTTCTACTTCAAAATTGTTTTGGCTCTTCTAGTCCTTTGCATTTCCATATAAATGTTAGAATATACATCAATTGCTATAAAAGTTTGCTCTGATTTTCATTTGGATTCGAATGAAATTACACACCAATTTGAGGAAAACTGAAATCTTAATACTGAGTCCTCAGATTTATAAACATCTCCACTTATTTAGGGCTTTATTAATTTCTTTCAGCAATGTTTTATAATTTTCAGTGTGCAGGTCTTGCATAAATTGTTAGGCTTATTCTAAATATTTCATGGTTTTTGATGCTATTTTAAATACTGTTTTTATAATTACCTAATTGTTTGTTGCTAGAGCCTATAAATTCAATGGTATTTGTACAATGACTCTGTATTCTGCAACCTGATAAAGTCATTTACTGGCTGCAGTAGTTTTATTGTACCATTCTTGGGATTTTCTACGTAAACAATCATGTTGTCTGCCTATGAAGGCAGTTTTACTTTTACCTTTCCAATTCAATTAGAGTTATTTAATAAGATGAATTTCAAAATTAGAGATCAGGGTGGGTGCGGTGGTTCACACCTGTAATCCCAGCACTTTAGGAGCCAAGGTGGAAGGATCAGTTGAGGCCAGGAGTTTGAGACCAGCCTGGCCAACATGGAGAAACCTCATCCCTCAAAAAAAAAAAAAAAAAAAAATTAGCCTGGTGTGGTGGTGCATCTGGTAATTCCAGCTACTTCGGAGGCTGAGACGGGAATTGCTTGAACTTGGGAAGCAGGGGTTGCAGTGAGCCGAAGACTGGGCCACTGCACTCCAGCCTGGGTGACAGAGCAAGACTATCTCGATACGATTAAAATAAAATAAAGTAAAATAAAATAAAATAAGAAGAGATCAGTTTCTTTCAACTAATACAATTAAAAACTTAAACCTATCTGGATATCTAGTGTTCATAATACAGGTCCTCTCAAATAAGAGTTCCTTCAACCCAAAACTGAGTATTTCCATATATAAATGAACCTGCTGGGATTATTTTTTTTTCCCTGATACCAAGAATCCATCCAAATTTGTTGGAATTTATTTGTAATTCCCTTTAAAATTATTTTTTATTGAACTATGTGTTTTGGTAGTAGTATATTGAGAGAAGCATCCTCTCTAAGAATATCTGTTGAAACTTCTTTTTTATTTCAGAATCTGAAATAGTTACAGTTCCCTCAATCAATCAGTTTAAACTTACAGATGCAAGGAATCTTATACCTGATTCCTCTTTAAGTTGGCTGGTAAAATGCTTAGAGCAAAACTTGTGAGCTAACTCTTGCCTTTCATATAGGACTTCGTGATCTAACTTCCCCTGCCTTTCTCTGTAGGACTTGGTTCCTATAACCTGGTTTATAGCTCTATCTTACTTGACTATTCTATTTTTCTTGGTTCATATTTCTTATTTTTAACTAATTTCACCTTGCAATACTGCATACCTCTTTCTAAATAAGGAGAAAAAAATGTGTCCATTATTGTTCCCTGATCTGCAATAATTATACTGTCCACCATCATGAGGACACATTCTAAATCAACACACCATTCATGTCTATAGGAACGTTTAACTTACCAATAAAGGTAGTCCAGACCCACTACCAGAACTTTGTGACTGGTCAATAAGGTCTTTTAGTGATTCTCCAACTGGAATAAATGCTTCATCCTGTTCCAAATCACGATTGTAACGACGTCTGCTTGAGATGCTCTTGCAATAATGTCTTTTAAAAAAGCAGAAAACAATCTACATTAAAAATGAAAAACTATAAAACCCTAAGAAAAACCTTGAGGTTCTCTATACCATTATCCTTCCCTCAGAAAGAATCCTATCCAAATTAGTCTTATCATTGGATAATATATCCTGTTAAATACATCTAGAAATGGAGTTCAGAGTTCTATGTATCATGTTAAAACAGAAAGATGTCTATAGTGTATTGGCATGTAAAAAGACACTATCAAAATCAGATGTGAAGTGTCATCCTAGCTATAAAAAAATACGACTTCAAATAATCACAATATACATTTCCTTACATTCCAACCCAAACCTCGAAGTCATATTTTCAGACTTTTGCCAACTTGATAGATATGAAACAATGCCTTCTTTTAATATGCTTTCCTCTGGTTACTAGCAAAATTGAATTTTTTTCCACAGTTCAGCTTTTTTTTTTCTGTGAACTGCCTACTCATATTTTTAACAAATACTTATTTTTTGAGATAGAATCTAGCTCTGTTGCCCAGGCTGGAATGCAGTGGTACGATCTCAGTTCACTGCAACCTCTGCCACCCAGGCTCAAGCGATCCTCCCACCTCAGCCTCCTGAGTAGCTGGGACTACAGGTACGTGCCACCATGCCCAGCTAATCTTTTTTTGTATTTTTAGTAGAGATGGGGTTTTGCTATGTTGCCCAGGATGGTCTCGAACTCCTGAGCTCAAGCGATCTGCCATGTTGGCCTCCCAAAGTGCTGGGATTACAGGCGTGAGACACTATGCCTGATCAATCTATTTGTGTTTATTGCACATTATTCAATTGAAGTGTTCCCTGAACTCTTCTCCTCATTGATTTGTAGGCGTTCATTATATAATCTGTATACCAAATGTTGACAATTGTGTTTCAACAATCTTCTCAGTCCATGATTATCACAGCATTCTCTTTATGGCATTTTTATGTCAGTTTTTAAATTTTAGTGTAGACAAATTACTTCATCTTTACTCTTTTTGACATGCTTTTGTCTCTTAAGACAACCTTCCAATCCTAATGTCAAGAAATATGTTCTCAAGGTTTAATTTTTTTTTTTTTTTTTTTTTTGAGACAGGGTCTCACTCTGTCACCCAGGCTAGAGTGTAGTGGCACGATCTCAGCTCACTGAAGCTTCAACCTCCTGGGCTTAAGTGATCCTCCCACCTCAGCCTCCCAAGTGGCTGGGACTACTGGTATGTTCCACTACGCCTGGCTAATTTTTGTATTTTTCATAGAGATGAGGTTTCACCATGTTGCCTAGGCTGGTCTCAAACTCCTGGGATAGGAAGTTGATTTGACCACAGGAGTTCGAGATGAGACCAGCCTGGGTTCAAAGCAATCCTCCTGCTTTGGCCTCCCAAACTGCTGAGATTACAGGTGTGACCCACTGTGCCTGGCCTGGTTTTAACATATTGATTCTCTCATTTAGTCATATGGTCCATTCAGAATGTATAATATATAATGGAAACTAAGAAACAAATTAAAGTATTTTCCATATAAATAGCCCAATGTACTTAACCATTATAATTTTATTTTTAAAACTTTATATGGGTAATTGACTCAAATAGTTTAAAATCCAAAAGACACAAAAGGGTATATGGCAAAAAAAAATCCTCCTCCCAGCTCTATCCCTAAGCTATCAAGTTCACTTCCTTAGAAGAGAATTATTTCCCTGTTTCCTTAGAAACAAAACTACTTCTGGTTTCTCTGGTAATCTGGAGAGACACTGATGCCGTTCTGCATCTTGCTTCTTACCTGGGGTATCATTCCACGTAAGTACACAAAGTGTCACCTTTTTCTTTAATGGCTAGATAGTATTCCACTGTATAGCTGCTAACCATTCACCTATTGGTAATCTTTATTTTTATTTTTCTTTATTTATTTTGAGATGGAGTCTTACTCTGTCCTCCAGGCTGGAGTGCAATGGCGCAATCTCAGCTCACTGCAAGCTTTGCCTCCCGGGTTTAAGCAATCCTCCCTGCCTCAGCCTCCCGAGTAGCTGGGATTACAGGCACCCACCACCACACCTGGCTAATTTTTGTATTTTTTTTTAGTAGAGATGGGGTTTCACCATGTTGGCCAGGCTGGTCTTGAACTCCTAACCTCAAATGATCCACCTGCTTCAGCCTCCCAAAGTGCTGGGATTACAGATGTGTGCCACTGCGCCCGGCCACCTACTGGTAATATTTGGATGGTTTCTAGTCTTATTGCATTCAAGTGTGAAATACAATTTTCTACCATATCTGTAGTAGGAATTACTGAATTTGGAACTTTGATGGAGTGCCCTACTGACCTCCTTAAAGGGTGAACCAGTTGGAATCCCTCCACCAACATATGAGAATGCCTATTTTCCCTACACCTTTATCCCTACCCTTGTGTTATAAACTTTTAGAATTCAGTTTTAAATGTATCAAATTTTATATTTATAGAACTTAATATTTAATTTTATCAAGCATCTTTATTCGCCTACCTTTGAATGTCATACAGTTCTCCATGGCTTGGTAATGAAAAAGCCATACTTTGTCTCCTCTCCTCCTCCTATCCAGTTTCCACTTCTTAGAATAAAGAATTGTGACTTTTTGAAGCTTATTTAATATTTACCTAATTCTTTTTTCTTTTTTTTCTTTTTTTTTTTTGAGATAGGGTCTCACTCTTGTCGCCCAGGCTAGAGTACAGTGGTGTGATCTCAGCTCACTGCAACCCCCGCCTTCCTGGTTTGATCAATTCTTGGGAACCCCAAGTAGCTGGGACTGCAGGCACACACCACCATACCAGGCTAATTTTTGTATTTTTAGTAGAGTTAAGGTTCCGCTAGTTGGCCACGCTGGTCTCGAACTTCTGGCCTCAAGTGATCCACCCACCTCAGCCTCCCAAATTGCTGGGATTACAGGTGTGAGCCACCACAGCTGGCCCTCATTATTTCTAAATAGCATCCTTACATTGACATTTTAAGTTTTTCAGTCTTAGGCTTTAACTATTGACCTTACACTGGGGAATATGACAATTTAACTGATCATTTAACACCCTGCGGCTTCCCAAAACAGAAATACTTCCATCCTCACATCCTCCTTACAGTTATATTATTTGTTTAGCTCAACATTCAGTGCTTGCATTATTATGACTACATAAACTCTATCTACACAAGGCCCTCGCTGTATAACATGACTGTTGTTTTCTTTCTTGCACACCCTCTTCCCCCTGCCCCAGAGCACAGGCAAAGATCCATTACTTTGGAGGGAGGAGAAGCAGCAAAGTCCCTCTGCCTCTTGGGGATGTAGAGGAAATGCTCCCTGTGCTCTGACCAGGCTAAGATCCTCTGATGCTGAGGAAGAGGAGAAGATGACACCTTCCTCTCTCCTTGTGGGCATAGGATCCTACAGGAGGACCACAGGGCAGTCAGCTACCTCTGTGGGAGGAGGTGCAAGAGCCCTGAGGAAGCTGCACCCTTAAGGTCTAGCAACACAGAACCTACCTAAGGACAACAGGCACGCCCCCCTCACTTTCCAACTGTCCTCTAATGTGAATAACACGCAACAGCAGATGACCTCTGTGGGAGGAACAAGAACATAGACAGTGACTCCCACAGAGGTGCAATGACGTGGTAAGAGCTGAAAGCTACAGGGGAGGTAGGAACTCAGAGAAAAACCCTTCCTTCTGCACCTAAACCCCAACTCGAAGCAAATGAACAGCAGCCCATCACTGAAGGAATTTGAAACTTGTGAGGCATTGAAGGCACAGGCCCAAACACTGAACAAAACCCTAACCCAAATCGACTCGTACTAGACTGAACACCTCCTGCCTATCAACAGCCTAAGAGGAGGTATGCCCATTTTCAGGAGTATGTCTTTATTTCAATGTCTGTTGTTCTTTTTAAAACTGATGTATAATAGTTGTACATATTTTGGGGGGTACATGTGATATCTTATGCATGTATACGATGTAAAATGAACAAATCAGAGTAACTGGGATAGCCATCACCTCAAATATTTATCTTTTGTTTTTCTTTGGGTGGGGAAGAAGAGGCAGGGCCTTGTTCTGTCGCTTGGGCTAGAGTGCAGTGGCATGATCTTGGCTCACTGCAACCTCCGCCTCCTGGGCTCAAGCAATCCTCCCACCTCAGCCTCCCCAGCAGCTGGGACCACAGATGTGCACCACCATGCCCAGCTAATTTTTGTATTTTTTTGTAGAGATGTGGTTTCACCATGTTGCCCAGGCTGTATCTTTGTGTTGGGAATATTACAATTCTTCTCTTAAAGACTAGCTACTTTGAAATACACAATAAATTACTAACTATAATTTCCCTACTGTACTATCAAATACTAGAACTTATTCCTTCTATTAGTAATTGTATTTTTGTGCCCCTTAATCAACCTCTCTTCATCCATCCATCTTCATCCAACCTCCCTCCCTCCTTTCTAACCTCTGGTATGTTATTCTACTTACCACCTCTATGAAATCAACCTTTTTAGCTCCCACGTATGATTGAGAACATGTAATATTTGTCTATGACTGGCTTATTTCACTTAACATTAATGAACTCCAGTTCCATTCACGTTGCTGAAAATAACAGGATTTCATTAATTTTCTGGTTGAGTAATATTCCACTGTATGGACCACATTTTCTTTATCCATTCACCTGCTGATGGACACGGTTGATTCCACATCTTGGCCATTATGAATAGTGCTTAAACACAGGGGAATGAACAGGCCTTCAATATACTGATTTCCTTTTGGATATATACCAAATAGTGGGATTGCAAGATCATATGGTAGTTCTGATTTTAGTTTTTTGAGGGACCTCCACACTGTTCTCCATAGTAGCTGTGCCAATTTACATTTCCACCAGCAGTGTGCTAGGGTTCCCCTTTCTCCATACCCTCCCCAGCATTTGTTTTCTTTTTGATAATGGCCATTTTAATTGGGGTGAGGTTGATATCTCATTGTGACAATCTCTGCTATTCTTAACATGATGTACAACATCCAAATAAACTTATGAGACCCATTAAAAAGCAAGGAATAATCACTCACTGCCAAGAGGGCAGGCAATCAAGAGGCCAAGTGTCAGACAGCACTTGTGCTGAAGCTGTCAGGAGGGCCTTTCACAGAACTGTGATTAAAAGGGGAAGGCAACTGGTGAAGGTGGTAACAGAATACACAGATGGAGAGTCTCAGCAGAAAAATGAAGTCAGACAGGAATGTGAGAAAGGGAAAACATGCTATTAAAGATGAAGAATGTTTGATGAGCTCAACAATACACAGCTCAGATGGACACAGGTGAAGAAAAAAAAAAATCTGTGCATTTGAAAATAGGTAAATAGAAGTTACCTGAACTAAAATACAAAGAGAAAAAACAAGTGAGAAAAACTGAAGAATTAAAGAGCTGTGGCACAACACCAAATAATCTAAAATATGTATAATTGGAGTCTCAAAAACAGAAGAGACAGATAAAAGGACAAAGTGTTTTTTTTTTTTTTTTTTTTTTTTTTTTTTTTTTTTTTTGAGACGGAGTCTCACTCTGTCGCCCAGGCTGGAGTGCAGTGGCGCGATGTCGGCTCACTGCAAGCTCCGCCTCCCGGATTCACGCCATCCTCCTGCCTCAGCCTCCCGAGTAGCTGGGACTACAGGCGCCCGCCACCACGCCTGGCTAATTTCTTTTTTTGTATTTTTGGTAGAGACGGAGTTTCACCATGTTAGCCAGTATGGTCTCGATCTCCTGGCCTCGTGATCCGCCCGCCTCGGCCTCCCAAAGTGCTGGGATTACAGGCGTGAGCCACCGCGCCCAGCCAAAAGGACAAAGTGTTTTAAAAAAAATAGTAGATAATTTTGCAATAATAATGAAAGATAGCAAACCATAGATTCACTAAGCTCAGTGAAACCCAAAGCAGAGTAAATACCAAAAAAGAAACACACACACACGCTTCTAAATGTATTGTAGCTGTTTAAAAGATAAAGGGAAAACATTAAAGGATGCCATGAAAAAAATTACATATAATACATCAAAGATAAAATGTATGTCAGAAGGCATGCAAGTGGAAGATAATGAGTGACAGCTTTAAGGGAAACAAACTTGAGCCCATCCAGAATTCTATAGCCAGTGAAAATACCTTGGGAAAATGAAGTCAAAAGACTGCAGACAAAAGCTGAGAGGACTTACAGCCAGCAGACCTGCACTCCAAGAGGTTAAAGAAATTCTTCAGGCAGAAGGAATATGGTATCAAATGAAAACTTGGACCTAAAACTTGGAATTAAATACATGGAGAGTGCTGAAAGTGATAAAAATATGTGTACATATAGGGCATTTTTTCTTATTTTTAATCACTTTAAAAGCTGATTGGCAGCTTCTTTTTTAGGTATTCAGAAAATGTTTCTTTCTTATTAAATAAAACATTACTTGGCAATTTTTTTTTTTTTGCTGTAATCACTGCAACTTAAAAAAATCATTCAATTCTTACTATTTAACTACTCTAGGACCAGGAGTCCCCTAAAGACAATGAGGATAAAGGGTCCATTATAAAGCCAGAAGCAGGCTTTTCATCTGACAAATGCATCCGTGATACTATTTCCCAAGCAGAAATTCTGGGCCAAGGTGGCTGGCAAACATCAACAAGAGTGAGTAAGTATCCACTGTGTGCCAAGCATGAGGGACACACAAGATTCACCATGGGCACCCTTCAAAATTCAATAGGAAAGTGGCAATTTAAACAGCCAGCCAGTTGATCATCAATATTAATGGTTAAGTAATCTCTGTTACCAATGAGATTCCTGTTGAATGGAAATGCAGACTTTTGGCAAATATGCATGAGTAAGTAAACGAATACTTGCCAATGTAAAAAAATGCAAGATAAAATTAGTAAGTGTTATGGGGGCAGATCATAGGATCTAAGCAGTCTGAAGGATTAAAGGAGCTACAAAAGAAGATGCCAGAGGAAACAACCAGGAACTGGCGTATGGTACAGAATGATGCCTCGTCCACAGTGGAGGGAGGCCATGGTTCCAGATAAGGTTTTAGAGAAGGTATAGGTTTTGAGGATCATGGGTCATGAATGTAAATGAGACTGAAGAATAAATTGCAGACGTATCTAAATTGGAGGAAAACGATCACATCAGAAAAAAGGGAAACAAAATATTAATGAGGCAAACAAAACAGACAAACCTTAATATGCTGACGGACAGACCTCTCTTTAACTTTAATTTTATTCTTTTACGGTTTGCTATGGAGAACAACTTGTGACTTGTTAAAGTTCAACTAAATATGAATGAATATTCCAAATTACAGATTGTATATATCTGATCAATAATGAATCTTCACAGACTGAACTAGCACATGAAGTTCTAAAGCTAAATAAACAGGGCAGTCACAAAGTTCTATGTAGTATTTAGTTTAGAACTATAAAAAAGCCTACATGACCAGTTCCTGATGTCTGATTGTATGTTCTGTGAAGTGTTATAGGTCACTCACTTGAGTGTCCATGGCCTGAGTCTCAGATGAGTAGTCTTTTTTGTTCATCTTAAAAGATATTGTTAGTTTGTGCCAGGGTCACTTAGATCCCCATTTCCGGATCTTCATTCTTTTATGTGGATTCTTATCTTCACCTGGCCTGTCTTTCCACCCGAAGAACTTCCCTTCACATTTCTTGTTGGGTAGGTCTAAGGGGGCGGGGTTCTTTCAAGTTTTCTGTATGACTGGAAATCTTCACATTACCTTCATTTTTGAAGGATATTTTCTCTGGCTATAGAATTCAAAGTCTGTGATGTTTTTCTTTGGGCACTTTAAAGATGTTGGTTCGCTATCTTCTTGACTGCACTGTTTCCAACAGAAGGTCTGCTGTCATCCTTAACTTTGTGCCTCTGTAGATACTCTGCCTTTTTTCCTTCTTGTTTCATTTAACATTTCTTTATTATCGGTTTTGAGCAATACAATTATCATGTGCCTTAATGTAGTTTTCTTCATGTTTCTTATACTCAGGGTTTGCTGAGCTTTCAGATATCTGGATTCATGGTTTTCATTAAATTTGAAAAAGCTGAGTGCAGTGGCTCACGCCTATAGTCCCAACACTTTGGGAAGCCGAGGCAGGTGGATCACTTGAGGCCAGGAGTTCGAGACCAGCCTGGCCAACATGGTGAAACCCCATCTCTACTAAAAATACAAAAATTAGCCAGGCTTGGTGGTACACGCCTGTAATCCCAGCTACTTGGGAAGCTGAAGCACGAGAATCGCTTGAACCCAGCAGGTGGAGTATGCAGAGAGCTGAGATTGCACCACTGCACTCCAGCCTGGGTGACAGAGCAAGACCTTGTCTCAAAAATAAAAATAATAGGCCGGGCACGGTGGCTCATGCCTGTAATCCCAGCACTTTGGGAGGCCAAGGCGGGCGGATCATGAGGTCAGGAGATCGAGACCATCTGGCTAACACGATGAAACCCCGTCTCTACTAAAAATACAAAAACTTAGGCATGGTGGCAGGTGCCTGTAGTCCCAGCTACTCGGAAGGCTGAAGCAAGAGAATGGCGTAAACCCGGGAGGTGGAGCTTGCATTGAGCGGAGATCGTGCCACTGCACTCCAGCCTGGGCGACAGAGCGAGACTCTGTCTCAAAATAAATAAATAAATAAATAAATAAAAATAATAATAATAGATAAATTTGAAAACATTTGATCATTATTTCTGTATGTTTTTCGTCCCTCCTCTCTTCTGGGAACTCCAATTATATCTATATTAGGCCATCTGAAGTTGTCCCACAGCTCACTATTCTCTATTCATTCCTATGTCTTCATGTTCACTCATCTTTTCTTCTACAGTCTGTCACTAATTTCATCTAGTATATTATTTCATCTGAGATATTATAGATTTCATTTCCTAAAGTTTCATTTTGGTCTTTTACAAAATCTGCCATGTCTTGATTTAACTTTTGTACATAAAAAATACAGTTATAATAACTATTTTAATGTAATTGCTAATTCTAAGGTCTATATCAGTTCTGGGTCAGTGGTTTTGATTGCTTCATTTCTTCCCTCATTATGGACCATATTTATATATGTATTCATTTATTCATAGTATTCATTTATTGGATGGCAGATATTGTGAATTTTACCTTGTTGGATGCCAGATATTTTTATATTCCTATAAATACTGTTGAGTTTGTTCTAGGATACAGTGACTTAGAAATGGTGTGATCTGTTTGGGGCTTGCTTTTAGGGTGAGACCAGAGCCATGTTTAGTCTAGGGCTAATTATTCCCCACCACTGAGGCAAAATCCTCCTGAGTCCTTCAACCAAAACCTATGAATTATGGGGTTTTCAACTCTCACAGCTGGTGTGAACAGATCCTACTCCCAGCCTTGTGTGAGCACCAAACACTGTTTTCTCAATCATTTCAGGTGCTCTTTCCCTAGGCTTGGTAGCTTCCTCACAACTCTTCGAACTGAGACAGGCTACTGGCTACACCTGGGTTCCCCCTGTGATGCCCAACCCGAAACTCTGTTCAGGGAGAAGAAGGTGGGCAATCACAAGGCTCACCTCACTTGTTTCTGGTTTCTCAGAGATCAGTATCCTTCACAGCCTGACACCTTGATTGGCAAGCTGTTAGTATATGGGTAGGGTTTACTGATTACAAGCTTCACTGTAAGATAATCTGCCTGGACCATTTCACTGGGCCCTAACAGCAGTATTTTTAGGTTTTATCTCTTGGGCTGAACAGATTTCCTTAAGAAACATCCTACCCATTGCTTAGAGAGCACACACCTGGCTGATAGGGTTCTTTACTATGTGGCTGAAGGCACTGCAGGCAGTCTCAAGACACACCACAGTGAAAAGTGTAGGTAGCTCTGAGGTAACGCAGCATGAAAAAAAAACAAAAAAAGAAAAGTATAGGTAGCTCATATTACAAAGGGCTGATTTCTGAAATATAAAGAGCTTCTATAAATCAAAGAGAAAAAAATCTATGCAATTCAATGGAAAAACAGGCCCCCCAAAATGAATACATGATTTAAATAAAAATATAGATGGTTCTTTTCTTAAAAGAAAAATAAAAGCATACTCAACAATATTTTACTATACACATTAGAGGCCAGGTGCGGTGGCTCACGCCTGTAATTCCAGCAATTTGGGAGGGCGAGGTGGGTGGATCACTTGAGGTCAGGAGTTTGAGACCAGCCTGGTCAACATGGTGAAACCCCCGTCTTTACTAAAAATACAAAAATTAGCCAGGTGTGGCAGTGCATACCTGTAATCCCAGTTACTTGCAAGGCTGAGGCATGAGTATCGCTTGAACCTGGGAGGCAGAGATTGCAGTGAGCCGAGATCACTGCACTCCACCTGGGAGACAGAGTGAGACTCTATTTCTAAATAAATAAATAAATAAAATAATATATACATTACAGTGCCCTTGTGTAATAAAGAAACCAATGTATAAAAAAAGTATTTTAATATGAAAATATAAATTAAAATCACCTTGAGATATTATCACCTGTCTTACTGGCAAAGATTCAGTTATTTGACAAAGGGACTTTGAGCTTAAAATAACCGATTGAGCATACTTGCTTGCTTTTACTAGTCCACTAAAACAGCAATAAAGAGTTTTAAACTTCTTTATCTAACAGGCAAGGAGAAAAGGAGATAAAATAACAGTAAACACTGTTGGAATTCATGAAGCAGATGAATGAGCAGTGACTTTGCACACCCAAAAAGTCTGATTCTTAGGTTAGAAATTGAGAAAACCAAGAAGCAACCAGTTTATACTATGGAGTTCCCCCAAGAACTTCGGAACTGGCCATTGTGGTTATGTCTGGAAGTAAAGTTGAGGGTGACAATAACACCAAGAAGACTGCTTGAAAGTCAATTTTCAGAAAGTCGGACACTGGATTATCCAATACTGTGTTAGCAAATCACTCCCAAACTGAGTGGCTTAAAACAGCAATTGTTATCTCACTGTTTCTGTGGATCATGCATTCAGGAGTGACTTGATTGGGTAGCTCAGGGTCAGATGTCAGCTGAGACTGCACTCATGTGAAAGCTTGACAGGAGCTTGCAGTCACTTCCAAGGTGGCTCACTTCCAAGGCCGACAGGCTGCAGGCTGGGTATTGGCAAGAGGCCTCAGTTCCTCCCTGTGTGGGCCTCTCTCAGAGTTGAGTGTCCACATAGCATGATGCCTGGCTTCCCCCAGAGTGAGTGATCCCAGAGACCATGGTGAAAGCTGCAAAGCTGTTTATAACGTAGACTTGGAAGTCACTTTTGCCATATCCTATTTGTCACACAGATCAGCCCTGATGTGTTATGGGAGGGGACTGGCCCCAAGGGGAGGAACCCCAGGCAGTGAGAATCACTGGGGGCCATTTGGGATGATGGCTACCTCAGATGTGGAGCTCTCCTCTCGACCCCATCTCCTACTCTGAATAATCATATGACTTTCGCATCACCTCCCTAACAGAAGATTCCAAGTCTATTATCTAGAAAGACCCAAAACACGATTTCTCAACTGTGGTACCCCATTGTTGAGGGTGAGGAATTATAATAAAAACAAGGAGGTATGCGAACGTCTTTTCCTCAGTAATCTGAAGTGTTTCCTTTATTATATGCTAAATTGCTGTATGTACTTGGGTTTGTTTATTTATGGGTTTACTAACTTGTTTCATTAATGTATCTAGGTTGGTATGATGTTTTATTATTAAAGTTTATATCCATTAGGGACTGTCTCTTATTACTCTTCTTTTTTGGCAACTGTCTTCTGAAATCATGGCTACATGCAAACAATTCTGGAGCTCCAAATTTCTAAAGAATTATAACGCAAAAAAAAAAAAAAGAATTATAACACAGTGGGTTTCTTGGGACAGATCGAAAACATTCAGATGCCAGAAAGCTCACTATTCCATTAATAAGAAAATCATAAGTAATCATGAACATACAAGAAGTATGAAATTGTGCCCAATTAATTAATTGGTAGTAAGGTCCTTTTCCCTTAAGAGAACTATAGTCTAGTTACATAAAGGAGATATACAACCAGAGAATACAAGTTAATGGTTTCTGCAACTGGCTTTACAAACAGCGGTTGACATCTAATATTTGACAAAATATTTTGCTTCAAAATAAATATCTTCTTACTTGTAACAAAAGCAGCTGGAGAAGATGATCATAGCAATTATGCAGACAGCCATAGAAATGAGCAAAACCAGCCATCGAATGCTGCCATCAAAAAACGGACCTGACAATAAAAGTAAACAATGTAAACAATTGAAATGAAAAAATAATCTGACGTGTTCAATTCTAGGTAGCCTGGTTACTGTAAAACCAGAGAAGATATTTGAGAAGCATGCTCCGACTTTTCTCGGCTAACCTACCTATGACAACAGGGGGCAGTGTGGGTTGCAAATACTGGTTACATAAATTGGTCCGACAACATTCTATTGTCCGGCGTAGCTGGGCTTTTGGAGAATCCTAAAAGAAGAGTAATGATAAAATTAGAAATGGTTTGGTATTTTAAACTGATATGTCTTTTTAGTATTCATAAAATACAATTTCTATTTCAGTGAGTGAAAGGGGCCTGCAAATTTTATATGTAAAAACAGATTATTGAAAGATTAAAATTTGTGCTGAAATAGTGAAGACTGCAAAATGGCTTTTCTTAAGAACATATCTATGTGGATGGTGTGTTAGACACTAGATTAGAACACCAAACCCGAACTTAGGTAATTACAATCATAAACTGGTCTGGTACATATAATCTCACTGTGGTACTGAGATGTGGATGAGATTTAAGATCAGACTAAAAAGTGGAGGGTGTCGTAGTCCAAAGAAAAGGCTGGTTAGCAAGGCAGCTGAGCGTGCAGAGGCGCTGCAGACCCTGCCTACCCCAGCCACGTCGGAAGTCATGAGCCTGATGCAGAGGCAAGTTGAGCATCCATGGTGAGGGAAGGACAAACTACAGAAAGCATTCTTGAGAGCTGATTACAGACCACCAGCCAGCAAGGAGACTGTCCCTAAGAGAGCAGAAAGCTAGCACAGAGAAGGACACAGTCACTGGAAGCGCAGCAGCACTTGCATGTGATGTTTTATTGGATTAACAACACAATATCTGACAAGTTGAATGCTGCAGCCTGGGGAGAACTGCCATTCTGACCAACATGTGAATAGCAAAGAACTGTTTGTCACTACACAAGTAACAAGAATGTAAGCGGAAATTAAGGAAAAGCCTCAGTATAATCAGCTATGACTTTAAAAAGGTAAACATGAGCCTGTGACTTCAGATTCTGTTGGGAAGATGGTCAAGAGCATTTGGAAATGTCCAAATACATATTTTATATTTTAAATGAAGTTTTATTAATAACTTTTAAACAATTTTTACTTTTAAATGATCATAAGGAGAGAGAGAAAAAAGTTAGGGTTAAACTGGAGAGTCTGAAATAATCCCAGATTCAGAGAAAACACATGGAGGAGGAAATGAAAATCATATAACTAACGATGAATGAAAGAAGTGTCAAGCATCCAAAAACGGTTCCAGGAAAGCTAAAATGAGCTTGGCCTTGCAGAAGAGAAAAGTGCAAAGAAAAACCAAGAAAGGGTTTCTTTGGCAGCATGGGGTTTCTCCAAGCAACAGATGTACTGCTGACATGACAGTGGATGATAAGGAGAAAAACGAACAATTCTTCAACTCCTGTCTTGTTTTTTCTTCTCTATGAAGGATGCTGACAGGGATGACGAAGGTAGCTCAAACACTACTAAGTGGGAAACGACATCCCAAATGTACGAAGAGATCTTACGATGCGTTTGTATTCCTTATGAGTTCCTATATTCTAACCTAGGTGAATTATATCCCAGGAAGATGAAAGCCCTTGTAAGAGAGATGGCTGAAAGACAGGTGTAATTTAAAGACTTTAGAAAGATGGAGTGTTGGAAACTACAATAGATAATGGAATGTTATATTTTTATATAAACATTTCATATAAACATGTATATATGTTTATATATATGTTATATATATATGTGTTATATACGTCCCTTTTCTTTAAAAGGGAAAGAAAGTAGACTTTAAACTGGGTGTGGTGGCTACTTGGGAGGCTGAGGCATGAGGATCACTTGAACCTAGGAGTTCAAGTCCAGCCTGAGCAATGTAGTGAGACCCTATCTCTAAAAATAATAATTTTTAAAAAGAAGCCAAAAATAGACTCTGCCAACAGATTAAGGAGCATAGTATTACAGAAAATACAAGGGTTTTGGAATCAAACAGTTTGAATCCTAGCTTTGCCAGTTGTTCACTTTGTGAACTTGAGCAAGTAATTTATCTCTAGGCTTTAGTGTGCTAAAAAATACAGGTTAAAAAAAGATGAACTGGGAACAGTGGCTCACACCTGTAATCCTAGCACTTTGGGAAGCTGAAGTGGCAGAATGGCTTGAGCGGAGGAGTCTGAGATCAGGCTGGGCAAAATAGTGAGACCCCATCTCTAAAAAAATTTTTAAATCAGCCAGGTGTGGTGGTACACGCCTGTGGTCCCAGCTACTCAGGAGGCTGAGGTGGGAGGATCACTTGAACCCAGGAGGTTGAGGCTGCAGTGAGCTGTGATTGCACCACTGCACTCCAGCCTGGGTGATGGAGCAATACCCTGTCTTTAAAAAAATCTGCTCTATAGAGTAGTTGGGGGGAAACAAGGTAGAATATACTGAATCCCCAGGATACTATACACATATAACAAATATTCAATAAATTAACTTCCCTTCCTCTTGCTTGACATGAATCCCAGATGAGATTCTAGACTAAGCCAAAAAACTTCTAAGTCCCTAAAGACCCATTGTGGCTTCACTAAGAATAAGCAACACCTGCCTCATCTCACGTCTGTCTTACTCAGGTTAACTATGTATCTGGGTAGGCAAAAATTGGGTTTGTCGAGATTATGAATTTGGGTGACACAGCCTTTCCTTTTCCTGCACTCTCCACCCGTACCCTCTGCCCAAGTCAATTTTGTATTTCTAGACTTATGTGGGGAATATGAATTTTTGTGGGAAACAAATTTACTTGGCACTGATGAATTAAGTGATTCTGACTTAAATAAACTTATTCAGTGTGCTCAGGCTGGAGACAGTATATGAGGAAGGAACTGACGCCAAGTTACAAGGAATGGCAGTGAGGTTTCTGAAAAATAATTTGTCCTATAGGAGGAAACAGAATAAGCACAATTTACCAATGCAGCCTGGGGAGTGGAAGAACGCGAGGCCTGGTGAGAGGCACTCACATCTGTTCTGTGCCACACATGGCAGTGCGTGAAGACACTGGGGAAAGGGTTAGGATGAGCATGACAGAGCTGTGCTTGGGTGAGTGCTGTGCTTGGGTGACGTTTACCAAGAAATACAGAAAGTTAGATAAGTGCTGGTCAAAATGCTTGCTGGCGTAACCCAATTCTTAAAAGCAACGTATCCTTCACGTATTTTTCAGGTGACACTTAAAAATTTTCACCATAAATTTAAATGGCTGCAATATATTAATAATTTCTGGCTTACTGTACATAATGACACTTTGACATAGAATTGTTACCTCATTTTGAAATAGAAGTGTTACATCATTTTTTAATGCATTCAGTAGAATCTAAATAGCATTGCAATTTGATACCCATTATCATCATTTTAAAGAATAAATGAACAAATGCTTCTTTTAGCAATGAGAAATTTTACACTAGAACTCTTATTTCTCCTTGAACTCTTATTTCCTTTCAATATCTCCCATGATAATTACGTCCTAAAGTAATATATAACTGTCCACATCAAAGATAAGTACATAAAAATTCTTTTATTTCCTATAACTGTATGTCTTTAAGTCTTAGAAAATTATTCTAGTTTATCATAATCATTATTAGCATAAAATTGATCAAAACAATATATATGTTACAATCTTCATTAAATACAAACTTAAGAAAATGTTATTGGAAAGGGCATTTTTTCTTTTTCTTTTTTTTTATGATAGAAGATCTAGCTATCACTCCGCACACTAGAGTGGAGTTGCATGATCTCAGCTCACTACAACCTCTGCCTCCCAGGCTCAAGTCATCCTCCCACCTCAGCTTTTTTTTTTTTTTTTCTTTTCTTTTTTGAGACGGAGTCTCGCTCTGTTACCCAGGCTAGAGTGCAGTGGTGCTATCTCGGCTCACTGCAACCTCCAACTCCTGGGTTCAAACGATTCTCCTGCCTCAGCCTCCCAAGTAGCTGGGATTACAGGAGTGTGCCACCACGCCCGGCTAATTTTTGTATTTCTAGTAGAGACGGGGTTTCACCATGTTGGCCAGGCTAGTCTGAAACTCCTGACCTCAGGTGATCCACCTGCCTTGGCCTCCCAAAGTGCTAGAATTACAGGCGTGAGCCACCAGGCCCAGCTAATTTTTGTAGAGATGGGGTTCTGCCGTGTTGCCCAGGCTGGTCTCAAACTTGTGAGCTCAAGCGATCTGCCCGCCTCGGCCTCCAAAAGTGCTGGGATTACAGGCATGAGCCACTGCACCTGGCCAGGCATTTCTTAATGATATGGATGGGACTTTTGAAACAAATCAGTTCACGAATTCATGAATAAAAATTACTGCTAGAGTGAGAAGATTCATCATTAATCTTATTCTTATTTTTCCTTTTGTCATCATCAAGACAATGTATTCACATAAGCAAGATGATGATCACGGAAGGAGACTATTATACCATTGTCCCATAATTTTTTTTTTTTTGGATGGAGTTTCACTCTTGCTGCCTAGGCTGGAGTGCAATGGCATGATTTTGGCTCACTGCAACCTCCACCTCCTGTGTTCAAGCAATTCTCCTGTCTCAGCCTCCCAAGTAGCTGGGATTAAAGGCACGCACCACCACGCCTGACTAAGTTTTGTATTATCAGTAGAGACGGGGTGTCGCCATGTTGATCAGGCTGGTCTCTAAGTCCTGACCTCAGATGATCTGCTCGCCTCGGCCTCCCAAAGTGCTGGGATTACAGGCTGGGGCCACCGTGCCACCACGATCAGCCCATAATTGTTTAAAGTCCTTCCAAAGCATATGCTAAAAGTGCCATAAAGATCCTATCATCGAAAATTATTTTCAATGATCCAGCAACTTGGTTGAAAGCAAACAATTGAAAACCATCTGTCATGTAAACACTTATTTGATATCCCGACATAGCCTACACTGATGCCTTTACTTCGAATTACAACACCGTTTGGAACCTTGAAGTTTTACACCTCAGGCCTTCTATTTGTAAACTAGGAGGGGTTGACTATGAAAAGTGACTAAGGGAAAGAGAACTGCTTGAGAAGTTCTGTTCTCAGGCAGAGAAATATTCAGCAACAGGACCTACTGAAGTTTAGGATCCAAAAACTGATTCCCTTAAAACTATCAACGTGCCCGTTACCCTTGTATAACACAGTCTGAGTGTACCCAGGGATATGGGTAACAGCATGAAGACTGCTCTATTAAAGAATCAATATGGTCAAAGCTAACATCTATTAAGCCCTTACTATGTGCTAATTGTGCTAAACTATTTACATGTATCTCATTTGATCCTCATAGTAATTCCTTCATGGATGAGAAAACGAGAGCAGAGCACCTTGTCCGAAGGTTCACATATATAGTATATAGATTTGAACAGCTTGTCAAGTTTAACAACTAACTTATAATGGTGAATTCAGCTTAGGACAGGCCTACACTAGGGGCCTGTTGAACACTGGTTATTACTGCTGGGCTCAGTACCCTAACCATAGCTCTTTCTTCAATTTTTTAAGTGATTAAAAAATGTATAGTATGTGTGCTTGATAAATACGCAAATAGCCTAAAACTGGAACAACGAAATTAGCATCCTTTAAATCCCAACAAATTAGAGCAAAGGATTAATGCTTATACGATAAAATTCATAAAGACAAGTATGTAACAACTGTATAGGAAAACCTCATTCCATTCCCATCTACTTATTTGTGTGAAGAAACCAACAGCACCAATGAAGAGTGGAGGAGATGTGGCTTAGCAGCAGCATGAGTGAGTAGCATAGGGACTTCAGCGGACAGAAGGCTCAATGGTTCAAGAATATGGCATGACTGCCAAATATCTAACACAAGACTATGTTTAGAAAAAGGGAACAGGGCTATTTATTCTCTACTTTTTTCCTTGGTCATATCACACTCAATTCTGCATATTACACTGAGGAAGTGGAGACTGAATAACTCTAAAGCTGATCATATAAGGAGCAGTTGAGGTCATTATGGACAATTATTTTCACTGGGCAAAGACTAGTAGGATGAAGCACTTTTTTTACTTAGTAAAGGGCTGTCATCTTAAAGAGAGATTAGGTTTGTTCTCTATGGTCCAAAGAGTCAGAAAGGAAGATAGATTTGCAGTCATTTGCAACAAGGGTGATTCCAAACATTAGCTGAGAGGTTGAAACATAACCTTTAAGGTTTCTATCCATCCTGAGAATTTCTTTTCTTTTTTTTTTTTGAGACAGAGTCTCGCTCTGTTGCCCAGGCTGGAGTGCAGTGGTGCGATCTCAGCTCACTGCAAGCTCCACCTCCCGGGTTCATGCCATTCTCCTGCCTCAGCCTCCCGAGTAGCTGGGACGACAGGCACCCGCCACCACGTCCAGCTAATTTTTTGTATTTTTAGTAGAGACGGAGTTTCACCATGTTAGCCGGATGGTCTTGATCTCCAGACCTCGTGATCCACCCGCCTCGGCTTCCCAAAGTGCTGGGATTACAGGCGTGAGCCACCGCGCCCGGCCTCCATCCTGAGAATTTCCAAATAATAGGAACAATTTTCTAACATAGCTGAGACTTAAATTATGCACAAACAATTCTATCTGGAGCTGGTTTTCAGAAACACTGGAAGGATCTCCTGGGACAAAATCACTATGCAGAATTTTGAAGAGATCAGGTTTATAACCCAGAGCCATCAGGATGCTCATAAACTATTACCATCCTGATTCCTTTGCTGCTGCTTTTAAAGAGCTCCACTGACACCTCCTTACAAGGCCTTAACATTTTTTTTTCAACTTTAGTGGTTACCCTAGAGTTTGCAGTATATCTTTAACATTTCTAAGTTGTCTCAGAGTGATACAAAGGTTACTGCCACTATCTTAAAAGTCTTCTCAGTAAATTTTATAATCTACAAATAAGTGTGACAATATAATTTTTTTGCAGTCATGACAACCTAGGATGATTTAAAACTTTTTTTAAGGTAAAATAACCTGGAACTTAAATTACCATAATCATATTACTTGAATAAAATTTTTATTTTTAAAGAAACGTTAGCTGCAATTATTGTGATAAGAAAGTTTAGAAACTTTTTCTCATTGAAAATTGTAATCAGTAGCCAAAGACGGTTAAAATTTAAAAAAAGAAAAAAGAATTTTTTTTTTTTTTTTTTTGAGACAGGGTCTTGCTCTGTGGCCCAGGCTGCAGTACCGTGGAACGATCTCGGCTAACTGCAACCTTGGCCTCCCCGGCTCAAGCAATTCTTCTGCCTCAGCCTCCCAAGTAGAGAACAAAGAAAACTGTAATCAGGCTGGGCACAGTGGCTCACACCTGTAATCCCAGCACTTTGCGGGCCGATGCGGGCAGACTGCTTGAGCCCAGGAGTTTGAGACCAGCCTGGGCAACATGGTAAAACCTTGTCTCTACAAAAAATACAAAAATTAGCCAGGTATAGTGGCATGCACCTGTAGTCTCAGCTATTCAGAAGGCTGAGGCAGGAGGCTGGCTTGAGGTTGCAGTGAGCGGAGATCGCAGCACTGCACTCCAGCCTGGGCAACAGAGCCAGGTGCTGTCTATGGAAATAAAAAAGGAAATTGTAATCAAACAATTAGCTTTTCAGAAATGATTTAGTTATAAATTCTACATATGAATACAGGACAGAATCTAGACAGTAGGTATTCCTCCAATATATTTACTGATGTGAACATACAGCGATGTGTACACCAGGCATGTTTCTCCTGGGGGAAATCGATGCTTTCATATGGCCCCTCCCTTCTTTGTCTCATGGGTCCCAAATTATATCTTACTTTGCACTGAAAATCAGATCCTTCATATTTCATACACCCTGAAGCTAATGTGGTTTCTCCCTGGTCATCTTCTTCTATGATGGCAAAGCAATGTCCATTAGTTCTAAAACAGAAAAAAACAAAACAAAACAAAACATAAATTCACATAGAAAGTACTAACGAAATTTGAGTCTGAATGTGAACAGGTACAGATGGCCTTTAATACTTTGTTTTGTGACTTAGAATTGCATTCACACGTGATTTATTGGCAACGCCAGAGGTTTTAAGACAAATGAAAGTTATGTCTGAGCCAAGATCTAAAAGGCCAGTGACAACCCTTTGTCAAGAAGAAAAGGATTTCAATTAAACAAGTCCTCCACATAGGAGTTATGTGACTTCTCTTTGCTAATCAGTCATGTGATCACAGAAAGCTGATTTATAAAATTTTATGTCATGTTTTGAAAACATACTTTAAAATAACTTTGTCTCTTTTTACCCATTTTTTCAGTACTTCCATATTGTATATGATAATAGATAAAAACAAACTTTTCTCTGAAACATACAAATAGGCTTAATGACCAAAAAAAAGGGGACTAAAAGGCACCTTTTACTGAATATGATGGGAAAACAGGGAGAGGACTTTTGAATAAATTTTCAATAAATTTACATACATATATAATGAAATTCTTATTTTAGTGTTAGCATCCTGGAGTTTCCCCTTAATATATTCATATAGACTTTAACAGGTATGGGAGAAATTTCTAAAAGCTTTTTCTGTACTCCTATTTATTGTTAATATCAGGAATTGTGCTGCTTCTACTTAGAAGAATTTTGCAGAATTCTTGGTTTTCTGTTAGGAGAAAATGTTAAGTGTGGGGCAGAATTCTGTTAAAATGGATGATTCAGTTTTACTCTGGGTTACTAAGCTACTAACAGACAGCCCATTACATCAGGCAGGTACTACAGACAAGAAGTTTAGCAAAACATTATTTGGTGACATAGCAGAGAGCAGTTCCCTGCTGGCAAACTCTCACCAAGGTAAAAATGAACAACTAGTCACAGTCAGCCACGCAGAGCCCACCACCACCAGGGGACAAGCAGCAAACCTAAGACACGATGACCGTCATGCAGGTTCAAGAGTTTACGTGTAAAGTTTCATGCTTTCTATCTGGTCCATTCAGGGAACATACAATTATTAAAAGTATAAAACATGACATTCATTATTGCCTCTATAACAAGGAGACAATTAATTGACTGATGAGGTTGAGTTGTTCAGGCAATTTTTTTTGGTCTTATTAAGTCAATATGTCAATGTTTCCAACAAATATGGACTAGAATTACATGATCATATATAAACATGTTGTGCAGCTAACACGAAATACACTAGAAAAATTAAAATCATTTTATAAATCAGATTTGGATTGGTAAATTCACAGGTAAGAAAAAAGCATAAAATTAATTAACACAATATGATTTATATATATCTGCAAAATATTTCAACTAATTAAGAAGTAGGAGGCCAGGTGTGGCAGCTCACCCTAGTAATCCCAGCACTTTGGGAGGCTGAGGTGGAAGGACTGCTTGAGCCCAGGAGTTTGAGACCAGCCTGGGCAACATAGCAAGATCCTGTCTATAGTTAAAAAAAAAATTTTTTTTTAAATTAAAAAGAAGTAGGAGGTTGTCAGTGAGTTTTCTGATTTCTTTTTTGGTAACCTCTAAGTTTTCTAAAATGAGCATCAATAAATTTAAGATTAAAAGATCATTAAAAACTCAGATGTTAAATACTAGATCCCTTTGATCTTATTTTAAAAGCTGCATTATAACATAATTCTAATATAGTAACTCACCTATCAATCATTTAATGGAATAATGTTCTAATATACAAAACAAAAGGCTTTTTGGCTTTCTGGAAAGATACTATATATGAATGAAAAAAAAACCGCAGACAAGTTTAATAATTCTTAAAATAGCACTAAATGCAACTCTATTCTCCTAACTCTTAAGAAGGGCTGCATAAAATACTTACATGCATGTGTTATTAATAGCATCATCTGGACAGTGCCCTGAGCAATAGCACTTTAAAAAAGGCAAGGTATCCTCTGGTGCTAAGGTTACTCCATTTTCTGACTTTTTCTGGTCGGAGTCTGATTTCATCCCAGTGCCATGAAGCATACTATCCAGATTCTGTCCTGCATTCAAATATGGAATTTGTAAGTAAATCATTTCTGAAAAGCTCATTGTTTCGTGACAATTTTCAATGAGAAAAAGTTGTTAAGCTTTCTTATCACAATAATTGTAGCTAGCATGTTTCTTTAGAAATATAAATTTCATTCATACAACAAACAGACATACATTATTATGCACAGAATTACTGCACCAGGTATTGCGGGGTACATGAAGACAGCTATATCACAATTTTTGCACTAGTGAAAGACAAACAAGAGTGGCGCAAGGCAGAATACAGTCAAATCTTGTTTTTTATATTTTTAAAATAACTTAAAAATTTTTTAATTTAACCAGGGAAAAGCATGAACGCAGTCCCCCACCACCACAATTATGCAGTTGAGTTTCCCACATTTGGGGAAATCGCAGGGGTCAGCACATCTGGAGTGCAATGAATAAGCCTCGCCCTGGGAAAACCACCTTCGTGACCGTGGTCTCTCCCCTGCCAGGTAAAAGTATATAGTCATCACTTGTAAGAAAGGTACAAAAGGGGGAGAGACTTCACAGAAGTCTGTGAGAGTTTCCAATCATTAAATAGAGACAAGTTATGATTCTTCTTTTAACTCTTTGGTTCAAAACTTGTGACCAGCTTTCCTTTATTTGTGCCTCTATGTGGAAAAGGAGTTACTAAGCATCTTGCTTTGGCCTTTAATTGCTTAAGTAAGGAAATCATGAGAGCATGGGGACCAATCATGTTATCTGGAGATTTTCACCTCGAGGTCATTGGTTTGAATGCAGACGATGCTGGCAGAAACTGAAGGTTATAGAAGGGCAGCAGTTAGCTCACAGAAATAGAACTATGTTCTTACACTAGAGTCTAGCAGCCTGCAGTGACAGATACTGTCATATTTGGTACTAAATCTTTCAGGCTGGAAGCAGAACGGAACTAAAAAAACTGTTCTAGTAATTACTTCCTCTCTCTGACTCAGCTAGGCCATTCTTTGTGGGTTACTCTCAAGGGAATGAAAGGTGGAACCAAACAGACAAGTGTATATGTATTTCATTATGAATGTTAAATAAGTGGTTCAAGACACAACACAGACTTGATTTTACATTTACCATACTGATGAGATAAACTACTGAAAAGACAAAAAATATCACATATGCACACACAGGTAACAGAAAAAGTGCTGCTAAATAGTGTTTTGATGATTACATGCCTTCAGTTTCAATAATTTTCACTTTTTTTTTTTTTTTTTTTGAGACATGGTCTCACGCTATTGCCCAGGCTGGAGTACAGTGATGTGATCAGAGCTCACTGCAGCCTCAACCTCCCAGGCTCAAGTGATCCTCCCACCTCAGCCTCTGGAGTAGCTGGGACCAAGGGCACATGCCACCATGCCCGGCTAATTTTTAAATTCTTTGTAGGGACAAGGTCTCCCTATACTGCTCAGGTTGGTCTTGAACTCCTGGGCTCAAGCGATCCTCCCGCCTCAGCCTCCCGAAGTGCTGGGAATATAGCCGTGAGCCACTATGCCTGGCCAATAACCTTCACTTTCTTATACCGAATATTTAGTAAAAGAATTTGCTACTGAATGAGTATAGAGAACATTTTTATTTGAGATAGAGTCTCACTCTGTCACCCAAGCTGGAGTGCACTGGTGCAATCTCGACTCACTGCAACCTCCGCCTCCCAGGTTCAAGCAATTCTCCTGCCTCAGACTCCCGAGTAGCTGGGATTACAGGCACCCCACACAACGCCTAGCTAATTTTTTTGTATTTTGTTGGTAGAGACAGGGTTTCACCATGTTGGCCAGGCTGGTCTCAAACTCCTGACCTCAAGTGATCCACTTGCCTCAGTCTCCCAAAGTGCTGGGATTACAGGCATGAGCCACCGTGCCCGGCCAGGAGAGAAAACACTTAAAAAAAAAAAAAAAAAGCTGGAAGTTTGTGTACATACATATATTACTCATCCCCGCGCCCCCCACACCACTCTCCTTTCAGAAATAAATTCCGTAATATAATGTCAAGGCTTCCGTTGGATCTGATTGCTACAAAGCGGAAAGACCTCCTTTATGTTAGAAACATCAACTGTAAAAGATGGGGTGGGGGAAGCAGGAGGTACAGGAAGGGAAGAAATCCACTGAGCAGGAAATGAGGAGACTGGGATTCTGTTTTGCCATGGGCCTACCCCGCTTTACCTAGCTGGATGGTCTTGGGCAAGCCATGTCACCTTTCCAGGCTTCATTTACTCTATAAGGCTACAGGACTAGAGGACAGGTGAGGGAACCTGACCAGCTTTAAAATCCTATTACATTAACAGAAGACACGTATCAATTCAGCTCTGGAAAACAAACAGTATATAATATATCACAGCAACTGATTTTTCAAAAATCTAGTGACACAGAAAAAGCAGTTTAGTGTGGCAGAAATATCACTTGAGATAACAGCAAGAAGTGAAGGGTTCAAGTCGCAGTTACGGGCACAGATAAGTTACTCTCTGAACCTCAGCTATCTATAGAAAATGGGGATAATAATTCCTGCCTAATTCAAATCAAGAGGTTATAGGTAGATCAAATGAATATTTACTAAAGTGCTTAACTACATGTAAAATAGTATACAAATGAAGATGTTACTAATAACAAAGATCAGAACACTAAAAGATCACTGATACATGAAAAAACTCAAAGTTATATGAAACTTCCTAGAATACTATTTGAATTCATGAGACAAAAAACTCAATTACAGTAGTTGTATCTGGAGCTTATGTTATTGCCAAATATTCAACAGAATACTTAGTAGGGGTCTATTATGTGCAGGCAAGGTATTAAATGCTAGAAACGCAAAGATGTGGCATCAAAACCACATATGTGGCCTTGAGAAACTTGGTGGAAAGCAGAGGGGGAATAAGCACAAAAGCAAATAAATACAATGTGAAAAGTGACAAAATACAAAGGCCAGGCGCGGTGGCTCACGCCTGTAATCCCAGCACTTTGGGAGGCCAAAGTGGGCACATCACCTGAGGTCAGGAGTTCAAGACCAGCCTGGTCAACATGGTGAAACCCCGTCTCTACTAAAAATATTAAAAAATTAGCTGGGCGTGGTGGCAAGGCGCCTGTAATCCCAGTATTCAGGTGGCTGAGGCAGGACAATCACTTGACCTGGGAGGTGGAGGTTGCAGTGAACAGAGATCAAGCCATTGCACTTCAGCCTGGGCGACAAGAGCGAAAATCCATCTCAAAAAAAAAAAAAAAAAAAAGTGACAAAATACGGAGGTGTTTACATGTAAACAAAGGAAAAGGCTCATCCTAGGTGTCAAACTCAAACTGATCTTAGGTGTCAAAAGTAATGAAATCTAAGCTACATCTTAAAAACTTGCAAGATTTCACCAAGCAGATATTGAATACAAAGAAAAGTAACAGGAAAGAGCCTCTCTGTGCTCTCCCTAGGGGACAGCGCCCACTCTGTTGATGGTTCCTGGATGTACCCCCTCTAGCCATGACCTGCTTAGACATCTCCTGACTGACTTGTCTTAAATGAACTCTTGATTTGCCTCAAACCTGGTCTTACCAAAGTCTTTTGGCTCAACCTCCAAAATGTATGTCAATTGTTTTCATTTTTCTCCAACTCCGCTGTTGTCACCAAGGCCCATCACATCATGCCTCTACTAAGGTAAGAAGTCTCCAACTGTTCCCTCTGCTTCTGCTCTTGGTCCCTGCAATCCATTTTCCACAGAGCAGCCAGAGACATTTTATAAACACAAATCTGTCACTCCTATATAAAACCAATCAATGGCTCCACAATGCACTCAGAATAAAATCCAACCTCCACTGTGTGCTCCCAGGGCCCAACAGGATCTGGGTCCTGCAGGCCTCACCATCATCACTTTACTTGGCACATGGCCTTCTGTCAGTTCTGAACATGTCAATCTCTCGCCACCCACAAGTCCCGTGTATTTACAAAGAATAAACTACGAGCCCTGGGGTGGACTGGGGGTATAGGTTATATTTCAAAACAAACACACACAAAATATTTAATAGCTTACATGTTTAAGTATAACATCTCAGGAAAAAATGAAAACATATACATACAAAGAGACAAACAGTTACAAGAGACACATGACCATACACAGGCACATTTACAGGTCCTTGTCATCAACAGCAATTTTTGGCATCAATGATTTTACTAGATTTTTATTCCTGGCTAAGTAATTTTTCATATTTTCCCAATAATTTATTGGCTTCCTTTTTCTACAGCAAATAAATGCCCTCTGCCGCAACCTTAAGATAGAATGTCTACAACAGAACTCAGATGGCAAACGGTTGGTGAGACCAATGGGCTACTGATGCACTATACATATGAGATAATCAGCAATGGTAGCCTAATGAATTCTGCAACAACAGTCTGCATCATTAATTAAATAGAAACCAGGAAGACATCAGCAGAAGGAAAGTCAAGTACAAGGAAGCAAGAACTAGGGAAAAGGTGGCATGTCTACAACTGTGCTGTCCCATATGGTAGCCACTAGCCACATGTGACTTAAAATGTAGACGAATTAAAATGAAGTAAAATTAAAAATCAGTTTCTCACCCACACTAGTCACAACTCAAGTGCTCAAAAGCCACATTTGGCTAGTAGCTATCACACAAGACAGCAGAGATATAGAAAACAGGTATTGGTTTTGTGGGCCCCAAGGTCTCTGTCACAACTATTCAATTCTGCCGACACAATGCAAAATCAGCCAGACAACATGTAAAAAAATGAACATGAGTGTGTTCCAATAAAATTACTTATGGATAATAAAATTTGAATTCCATATAATTTTCATGTGTCATTAAATATTCCCTTGATTTTTCTTCAATCACTTAAAAATGCAAAAACACCATTCTTCACTCATGAGCAGCACAAAATGCAGCAATGCGCTGGATTTAGTTTGTGGGCTATAGTTTGCAAATTACTGATATAGAAATTTCCATCACCAAACAAAGTTCTGTCATACTACGTTGGTCTAGGAGGAAAATCAAAGGGAGAAGAAAAGAAAAGATTTTGCGGCAGGGCCAGAAAGCATAGAAATGGGCTTTTCACATCTGATAGGATATGTGAATGATTAGGCTTATTTTATGACACTTTTGGAAGGCCAATAAAAAATTATAGTTAGATGTATTTCAGTTGAACATAAAAACTGCATAAATCAGTTAACATTAATCAAACTTGGTTCTGAACCCATTATCAAAAATGGGTTGATACATTCCGACACATGCTGACACATGTCCGACACATACTGACATGCAGTGTCATCCATAATGTCACTGAATGGCAAAAAAAAGCTTCTAGAAACATGAATATAGTTATTGCATTAAAAATCATATGCTTGGCCAGGCGCGGTGGCTCACGCCTGTAGTCCCAGCACCTTGGGAGGCCGAGGCGGGTGGACTGCCTGAGGTCAGGAGTTTGAGACCAGTCTGGCCAACATGGTGAAACTCTTGTCTCTACTAAAAATACAACAAATTAGCTGGGCATGGTGCTGTGAGCCTGTAATCCAGCTACTCAGGAGGCTGAGACAAAGGAATCACTTGAACCAGGGAGGTGGAGGATGTAGTGAGACAAGATCACACCAATGCACTCCAGCCTGGTCAACAGAGTGAGACTCCATCTCAAAAAAAAAAAAAAAAAAAAAAAAAAAAAAAAAAAAATCATGTGTTTGCCAGGCATGGTGGCTCATGCCTGTAATCCTAGCACTTACGGAGGTCCAGGAAGGTAGGATGCTTGAGCTCAGGAGTTCAAGACCAGCCTGGGAAACATGCTGAGACCTGGTCTCTACAAAAAATTTAAAAAATTAGCTGCGTGTGGTGGAGCACACCTGTAGTTCCAGGTACTTGGGTGGCTGAGGCGGAAGGATCGCTTAAGAACCCAGCAGGCTGGCAGGGAATGGTGGTTCAGGCCTGTAACCCCAGCACCTTGGGAGGCCGAGGTGGGTGGATCACCTGAGCTCAGGAGTTCAAACCAGCCTGGCCAACATGGCGAAACCCTACTAAAAATACAAAAATTAGCCGAGTGTGGTGGTGTCTACCTGTTATCCCAGCTACTCAGCAGGCTGAGGCAGGAGAATCGCTTGAACCCAGGAGATGGAGGTTGCAGTGAGCTGAGATTGTGCCACTGCACTCCAGCCTGGGCCACAGAGCAAGACTCGTCTCAAATAGAAAAAAAAAAAAAAAAGTCATACGCTCAAACAAAGTTTACACTGTTGAACTCCTTTTATTGCATTATGATCACAGTATGTGGCCTTTGAGGAATTTTGCTTTTTGTTTTTTTTGTTTTGAAATGGAGTCTCACTCTGTTGCCCAGGCTGGAGTACAATGGCACGATCTCCACTCGCTGCAACCTCTGCCTCCTGGGTTGAAGCAGTTATCCTGCCTCAGCCTCCCAAGTAGCTGGGATACAGGCGCCTGCCACCACGCCCGGCTAATTTTTGTATTTTTAGTAGAGACGGTGTTTCACCATGTTGGCCAGGCTGGTCTTTTTTTTTTTTTTTTTTTTTGAGACGGAGTCTCGCTCTGTCGCCCAGGCTAGAGTGCAGTGGCGTGATCTCGGCTCACTACAAGCTCCGCCTCCCGGGTTCACACCATTCTCCTGCCTCAGCCTCCTGAGTAGCTGGGACTACAGGCGCCCGCCACCACGCCCGGCTAATTTTTTGTATTTGTAGTAGAGACGGGGTTTCACCGTGTTAGCCAGGATGGTCTCTATCTCCTGACCTCATGATCCGCCCACCTCGGCCTCCCAAAGTGCTGGCAGGCTGGTCTTGAACTCCTGACCTCAAGTGATCTGCCTGCCTCAGCCTCCCAAAATGCTGTGATTACAGGCATGAGCTAACGTGCCCAGCCAAGGTGTCTTATACTTAACTGAAATATTATTTCAAAATTACCCACGATAATCCAAGGGTGACGTGGGTGAGGGAGAAGTGCATGGGGGTAGAGAGGAAACAGCCTTGGTCATCAGTTGATACTGTCAAAACTGAGTGACAAGTTCATGGAGTTTCATTATATTATTCTCTCTACTTAGACATATGCTTGAAATAAGTATTTTTCCTATAAGTAGTTTTTGATGGTTTTTTTGTTTGTTTTTTGAGATGGCGTTTTCGCTCCTGTTGCCCAGGCTGGAGTACAGTGGCATGACAGCTCACGGCAACCTCCGCCTCCCAGGTTCAAGCGATTCTCCTGCCTCAGCCTCCCGAGTAGCTGGGATTACAGGCATGTGCCACCACACCTGGCTAATTTTTTGTATTTTTAGTAGAGACGGGGTTTCTCCATGTTGGCCAGGCTGGTCTCGAACTCCTGACCTCAGGTGATCCGCCCGTCTCAGCCTCCCAATGTGCTGGGATTATAGACATGACATGAGCCACCGTGTTGGGTCTTTTTTTTTTTTTTTCCTAAAAGTAGTTTTTAAAATACTCAAATAAAACAACAATATATTCTCATAGCATCCAAAAAAAAATTGAGCCCCACAAGTAAACCAAAAAGTCCTCTTTGGGCCCATCTAATCCCCTTCCCACTCCTTAAACATAACCACCATTATCCGTTTGATGTATATGCTTCTTGTCCTTTTTCTATTCATTTACATATATATGTTTGAAATGAAGTATTCTTCCAGAAAACTTTTTATTTTTTTGAGACAGGGTCTCACTCTGTTGCCCAGGCTGGAGTTCAGTGGCCCAATCTCGGCTCACTGCAACCTCCACCTCCCTGGTTCAAGCGATCCTCCCACCTCAGCCTCCCGAGTAGCTGTGACTACAGGCACATGCCACCATGCCCGGCTAATTTTCGTATTTTTAGTAGAGACAGGGTTTCACCATGTTGGCCAGGCTGGTCTCGAACTCCTGAGCCACTGCACCTGGCCAGAAACCTTTTATAAAAGTAGAGAAAACTGTACAATGAACCCACACATACCCATACAGCCCAGCTTTTATAATGATGAATTCATGGCCCTTCTTGTTTCACTCCCTCCCCCTTTCATATAATTATGAAGCTAATACCAGATATGTCCATTTATCTGTAAATATTTCAATGTGTATCTCTAAAAGAACTTAAAAAAAAAACACAGTTATCACACCTAAAAAAATTAATAGTAATTCCTTATCCTTACCAATATCATCAAACATCAAGGCAATGTTCAAATTTCCAATTATATTATAAATGTTATAAATTGCTTTCTAATTTCCAATTGTATCATAAATATTACAAATTACTTTAGTAGTTTCCTTGAATCAGGATCCAAATAAGCTGGTTGTCTCCAAGTCTCTTAATCTACCAGTTTCTTCTGCCTCTTCCTGTCCTTGAGATTTACTTGTAGACATTGGGTAACTTGTCCGGTATTTACTAGTATAGTATTTACCACAGTCTGGAATTTCTGATCACATCCTCCTGGCATCATTTAACATGTCCTCTTGTTCTCTATGGATTTTGTAAATGGTAATTAGCTCGAGAGCTGTGCTGTCCAATATGGTAGCCACAAGTCACATGTGTCTATTGAGCGCTGAAATGCAGCTGCTCTGTATGTTGTGGGCAGGAGGGAACCAAATGCCTGCTTATCTCTGTTTTTAAGGTCTAGATTCACTAATTCAATCGGCATAGTATAAAATAATGTATCTAATCCTATCATTTCTCTTTTTTATGACTTGGAATACATCTATGAGATGCTTTCCCTCACCTACTAATTGGATACAGGTGGCACAGTTCATGTTAGAAAGGCAAGATTAATGTTTGATTTCTCCCTCTATTTACCAGTTTTCAAAATTAATGACTTCATTAGCATCTTTTAACAGTAACCAACTAGTTTTGTTTTCTTTTTTTGAGACAGAGTCTTGCTCTGCTGCCCAGACTAGAGTGCAGTGGCGTCATCATTGGTTCACTGCAGCCTCAAGCTCCCGGGCTCAAGTGATTCTCCCGCCCACCTCAGCCAGGAATACAGGCACACATCACCACACTCAGCTAATTAAAATTTTTTTTTTGTAGAGACCAGCTCTATGTTGCCCAGGCTGGTCTCAAACTATTTTTTTTTTAAAGGGACTCTCAGTTTAGCCGTGGATGTTCTCAAACTCTTGAGGCTCAAGTGATCCTCCTGCCTTGGCCTCCCAAGTGTTGGCATGTACAGGTGTAAGTCACAGCCCTCAGCCCTAACTAGTTTTTTTCTTAAGTGTTATTACAAACACGTGGATTTAAACATATTTGATTTGTTTGAATCCACTACAATTAGTATTCAATTCAAACTGGTCACTGAATCCTTTGAACTTTTCCTTGCTTTCTGGCCAAAATACCAAGATCACCTTGCTCTTTCCCTGCCGAACTTGAACTCAGTGATTTCTCCAAGGAGTTCTAGATCCTTAGTGAAAAAAGACAATCAGATACTACAACTGGGTTGTTACAGGTGCTTGTTGTTACTGGGTTGGTCAGTGTAAAAATATATGGCTAAGAAAGCAGCTTTGCAACTTGCTTTTTTCACTTTAACTGTATTCATCCATTAAACCAAAATGTACTGAGTGAGTACACGGTGGTAGCCACTGTTTTAAGCCCTGGGTGACTAGAAGAGTAAACAAAACACAGTCCCATATCTATTAAAGCTTACAGTCTTCGACGGAGAAAGACAATAAAGATGAATAAATACTGACATTTGGTACTATTTTAATATTTATTCATAGGTAAGTGCTACAATACCAAATAAAGCAGGTCATTTTCTAGCATGGGAAAGGAGCAGAGTGCCTCAGAGCGGAGGTCACTAAACCAAAGGCCAGGAGAACAGGCAAAGCAGAGGCCAGTGGCTAGGTCAGAAATTCTCAGAACACACATCAAGACAAGATATTTAACTGTGTTTAATGGAGTGAAACCAAAGAGATCAGAGCAAACAGAATGTAGGACCACTACAACTTTACAGGAACTGTACTTCCAAAGATATCCCAGGCTGACTCAGTCAGGCTGTGAGTTTTCAATCCATAGGACAATTTCCAGTAATCAGACCTCCATACTAACAGAAAGCAGGCCGCTAAAGCTGTTCAGTCTCCACAAAGATCATCCTCCACTAATTCCAGCTCAGATGTGACCATGAAGACAGAAACACTAGCCAAGGAACACCAGAGACAAGGCAAATCCTCCCAGAAAATAAAACTGGAGGCTGACAAACAGGTTAAGCATCATTAATCTACATGCTATGGAGCAGTGAATACTGAGGTTGTTTCCAATTTTTCTTCCTCTGAATGGAAGTTTTATATAGTACTTATCCCACTTCATCTTTATCACTGGATACTGGATATACTGTGCACTGATAATTGCTTTTAGCCACACACTGCTGGACCATGAAGAGGCACCTGGACCCGAAGGAGAGGGCTTCCCACCAGCCAGAAGTCCTGGATTAGTAGCTGCATGTACTAAATGGATGCAACTCTGGGGTATAGAACCCTTTGAAAAGGAACTGAAAATTTCATAGCAACATGAGCATTTTAGCATATGTATGATGTCAGGTCAACAAATGTGGTACCCAGCAACAGATACTCTTATTCTTCTCCTCCTTCCCTTGCTGGCAACAGGCATGTGCACATGTACACACACATTAAGGGTCTGCCCCTCCTCCACGTGATTCAGGGAAGCGCAGCCCTCTACTCTCAGCAGAGATAATCGTTGGTCTAATCCAACAATTTTAGTTCCATTCCCCTTGCCAGTGATTTAACACAAGAGCATATAATGAATTTTGGCCACTAAGATTAGAAGGAAGTCTGTTGGGGAGAGGAAGTGAGTGAATGGGGAAAGATTTATCAATTAAAAAGAGACACAAACAGATTTCCCTCTTCTTTAACTGAGCATTGTCAACTCAAGCTTACCTCATCTGCATGTGATGTCTAGTCTCTCAGCAGCCACACTGTGACACTGTGGCTAACCTGACATTTAGAGATGTCACAGTTGAAAAGACAAAGAACTTGGGTCTTGATGAGCCACATAACCAACTACAGTCCCCTTATATACAGACTTCCTGTGTGTTACTACATGCTCTTTATTGTTCAAACTTTTTTTTAAAAAAATAAAAATCACCTAGCCCAAAATGTCATGTTTAAGCTCTTTTAATTTTTTTTTAATTATTTGTAGAGGAAAACATTCTAATTGATGGAAAAAATTAAATCTCTCCCAGATCCTTTTAATTGTCCAATTGATACCTATTTTCCCCCTTTTCCCAGCTAACCAAACTCTGATTTTGTTTGGGGGAACAACACACCCAGCCCTAGGCAATGGATATAGATTAAGACAATTGTGACAATCCTGTTTCTCTGTTTTCCAGTAGCTCTTGCTATTAGGAATGATTAAGACTTAAGACAAAATCTGTGACACTTTTGCTTTCCTGGTATCAGGTCTAGTTGAGGCCAGTGCTGACCCTTTCCCCGTTTTACCTGCCTCAAATGCAGATAATAGTAACCACTTGGGAACCACAAGGGAAATGTCAAGAAAATTACAGACATGTCAGCCTTGACACTACTCAATAACTGAATGTACAGCAAACATCTACCACCTATGTTAAAAATAAATCTCTATTGAAGTCATTATTAGTTACTTAAAACTAAAATCCATTTCTGAAATTTGTGACAAAATCCAAAAAAGGGACTACATATCTATCCAACATTAATATATCCTGTTGTAAAATTTGTGACCAAGTCTTAAAAAATAAGAACTAAGTATCTATCAGCTGTTAATATCAGATGACTCATTTTTCTGTTCAAACCTAAGTAACTTTATCTCAATGTAAAGCACTTAAATCTATACCCTAACAGTTGATGGTCAAAACATTCTTGTTTATATCTAGGATAAGCATTATTATTTCTATTTTACATCAAGGAAACCAAGGTACAGATAAGTTTATTTTCCTGAGACATAATTCAAAACAAGATAAAGCTAGAGCTAAAGTCAGAAGTTATTTCCATTAATACCATTCTACAATCCTTCCTAATGATCTCTCAGAAATAACTTTTCTACATTGGTTTTAGCTTTAAGAGCAAACATTTGTGTGTTATTTGAAGCAACTATCAAAATAATTTTTTGAAAGGAAATGTAACAAATTTCACTCTTTATCAGAGAAATGTAATTCTTAATAAGATCTTTTGCTTTTACGTAGTAACTAATTACCAACTTATTCCACCTAATAAAAGTTTATTATAGAACAATGTGAACTGGGGCGAAGACTGAGAATTTTGTATCATATTGCCTACGTGTGATCTAAACAGATTTTAAAAAAATTTATGCCAAAATGGAGATTACCTGGAAGTGAGGTAGCAAATATAATATTACTATGAATTTAACTCATCTTCAAAACTATAGCAGCTTTGGTTGATGCTGATCAACAAGGCATGTAACAGATATTGAAGTAAAGGTATTGTACTAAATAATTTGGTGTTTCACAAGTAAAAGTGGCTTTTGCTGAAGGCTCTGTATTCTTAGCATGGTAATACTAAGGATATTGTTGTAATACTAAGGATATTGTTATAATACTAAGGCAAAATAAAAAGAAGCTATAGATTTCATTCTATGTTTGTGCTTTAAGATGAAAATATCAGCCAGGCACAGTGGCTCACGCCTGTAATGCCAGCACTTTGGGAGGCCGAAGTGGGTGGATCACGAGGTCAGGAGATCGAGACCATCCTGGCTAACACGGTGAAACCCCGTCTCTACTAAAAATACAAAAAATTAGCTGGGCGTGATGGTGGGCGCCTGTAATCCCAGCTACTCGGGAGGCTGAGGCAAGAGAATGGCGTGAACCCGGGAGGCGGAGCTTGCAGTGAGCCGAGATGGCGCCACTGTACTCCAGCCTCGGTGACAGAGCGAGACTCTGTCTCAAAAAAAAAAAAAAAAGATGAAAATATCAAAAGCTTTATGGTGTTAATCATGTTTCTTCTTAACAGCAGATATTAATCCAGATCACTGTGATCAAAACATTAGGAAAAAGCAACCTGTGAAGTAAAAAACTTGAGAACGAAGACATCCAGTAAGTTTTATCTAAAATCCTCTTGCAAAACAGTACTGTCTTTTCAGCTTAAAATATTATCCTACTTAAACCATACAGGAAAAAGCTTATGTGCAAATACAGGCCATCTGGTCCTAAGAGTCATCACAATAACTTCCTGTTTGGGAGTTCTAAGCTGTGAACACATAGTAGCAAAATTACTTTATTGGTCATAAACAAACTGTCAGTGCTCTATGAAGAAATTTTAGTATTCAGCACAGACAAGTGTCAGTTATCTTTCTAAAGTCTTTTAACAACAATAAAATGAAATTTTTTGGTTGGGGCAGGGACAAGAGTCTTGCTCTGTCGCCCAGGCTAGAGTGCATTGGTGCGATCTCAGCTCACTGCAGCTTCCACCTCCCGGGGTTCAAGTGATTCTCCTGCCTCAGCCTCCCGAGTAGCTGGGATTACAGGCCCCCGGCTAATTTTTGTATTTTTTGGTAAAGATGAGGTTTTGCCATGTTGCCCAGGCTGGTCTTGAACTCCTGACCTCATGATCCGCCCACCTCGGCCTCCCAAAGCGCTGGGATTACAGGTGTGAGCCACTGTGCCTGGCCAATAAAATGATTTTTCAATTATTATTTACACTTGCTCCTTATTGTATTTTAAAGGAGAGAGGAATTTTGAAGCTCAGCCTGGACTACCTATTACCCTGTCTTTCAGCTACTAACTGAGGTGGCTTTACATACTTTATCTCATTTAATCCTCACAAGACCTAATGCTGTGTATCATTACGCCTATGTTGTGAAGGAGAAGACAGACTCAGACTGAGATTTCAAAAATACTTGAAAATGTTTCCATCACAGCCAAGTTAAAAAATTATTTGGCACGTGTTTCATCTTTGCTTCTTTCCTAAAAGCTGCCCTAGTAGGCTGGGCCTAACTATTCAAACAGGGATGAGTTGAAAGAACAGAAGCAAGAAATAGTGCTTTTTATATACACACATACATTACTAAAATGAACACTGATTTACCTTGAACACGAGAAATGATGAACAAATAGGCTCCCAATAATCTGATGTAAATGTATAGCTGAGGCATTGTTCAATTGTAATGTTTCCTGTGTACTGTCACCTTTAATAATTGGTCTTGCTACTTCACCAATTTAAATGACTATCATTCAGTGAGATTTTCTTGTAAAAGATCGCAAGCACTTGACAATGACTTCAACTCCCACTGCTTTCTTACGACTCCTGAAAGACAAAAATATTTAAAAGGTAAGGAATACAACTGAATTTTGGAAATTTTTCAAAAACTAAAAGGGAAACAAATGCCCAAACACACCTTTAAACAATGAAATACATTTTAAAAGATTAAAGGTATCCTTGCTTTTTTTTTTTTAGGCACTATAATTTCAAACTTCAAATAATTTAGTTAATAGGCTGCAACCTCTCCTGACCTCAGATTAGCCATATGTACAACAAGGGAAGTATATTAAACAATCTCAATAGTCCTTTCTGGCTGTTCTAATTATTTTATTAATAACATGAAAATTCCCAACTATATTAAGACTTAAACAGGAAAAGTTAAATTTAAAACATAAGGGTAACCATCAACATTCTTGCAAATTCTAGTAGATATAATGAAAACACCCTAAGTCTTTCTAATAAATAATTTATTCTATAGATAGAAGAGGAAGCCGACCTAGAAAATTACACATATTAATTCATTTTATTTTATTTTATTTGAGACAGAGTTTTGCTCGGTCGCCCAGGCTGGAGTGCAATGGCACCATCTCGACTCACTGCAACCTCCACCTCCTGGGTTCAAGTGATTCTCCTGCCTCAGCCTTCTGAGTAGCTGGGATTACAGGTGTGCACCACCACACTCGGCTAATTTTTGTATTTTTAGTAGAGATGGGGTTTCACCATCTTGGCCGGGCTAGTCTCAAACTCCTGACCTCAGGTGATCCGCCAGCCTCAGCCTCCCAAAGTGCTAGGATTACAGGTGTGAGTCACCATGCCAGGCGAAAATTACACATATTTAATTAAAGAGGGTGCTTCATCATTAAAGGAAAAAAAAGAAAAAGGAGCCAGGTGCAGTGGCTCACACCTGTAATCCCAGCACTTTGGGAGGCCAAGGTGGGCAGATCACCTGAAGTGAAGTCAGGAGTTCAAGACCAGCCTGGCCAGCATGGTGAAACCCCATCTCTACTAAAAATACAAAAATTAGCCAGGCATGGTGGTGGGTGCCTGTAATCCCAGCTACTCAGGAGGCTGAGGCAGGAGAATCACTTGAACCCAGGAGGCAGAGGTTGCAGTGAGCCAAGATTGCAGATTGTGCCACTGCACTCCAGCCTACACGACAGAGCGAGACTCCATCTCAAAAAAAAAAAAAAAAAAAAAAAAAAGAAGGTCGGGTGCAGTGACTCACGCCTGTAATCCCAGCACTTTGAGAGGCTGAGGTGGGCAGATCATGAGGTCAGGAGATCGAGACCATCCAGGCTAACATAGTGAAACCCCGTCTCTACTAAAAATACAAAAAAAATTAGCCAGGTGTGGTGGCAGGCGCCTGTAGTCCCAACTACTCAGGAGGCTGAGGCAGGAGAATGGCTTGAACCCAGTAAGCGAAGCTTGCAGTAAGCTGAGACTGCGCCACTGCACTCCAGCCTGGGTGACAGAGTGAGACACAATCTCATAAAAAAAGAGGAGAGGAGGGGAGGGGAGCGGAGGGAAAAAAGCAGTATCTTAAAGAAATTATTTCCTAAAATATTGCAAATTTGACTTTATTAAGATGAAACTGAACTTCTAATATGGATGACATGAAACATAATCTCTCCAATTAAGGTTTGGTGATTATTAATATAGACAGTGAACTTTTAAATGCCTCAAAGTAAAATTGTTAAATAAATAACGGGGGAAAAGGCTAATTAGTATCAAGATATATATCATTCTACTTTACCCCCATCCCATTGTTTCATGTGGTTTGATTTTATTGACTTTCAGCTTGAACTATTCCTGAATGACAAAGATCTTGCTTATTTATGACACAATGACCCTGGTGTGATTTCTACATTAATAACCTGAGCTTTCTACTTTATAATATCTAAGTAAGAATTTTCACTTTAATTAGCTTTCCAAAGTTATTCACAGTACTGAGGCAAAGAAGGTTTACAGTGAGGTATCATTTACACGTGTATGTTATATGTAGCTTAGTTCTAAAAATCCCTGCAATCTCTTATTTCTGTAATATAAAATTGTTTCCCATTACATAATGCTGAGAGAAAAAGATGTAAAGTCTAAAATAACTATAGAATAATGTCTGCCACATGATTTAACAGCATTTCTTTGAAAACTTCTTGAAATAATTCAACTGTCATTCTAAGGATATATGTTCCAGGTTTCCAATTCAAGAGAAGTTTCCAGTGTATTTCCAATCCTAATCTCTCTTCCTCATTTCAATTTTCCCACTAAATATTTCTACTAGAATCACACTCCACCTGTCTAAATCAAACCCACACCTTTCTTTCTTGCTCCTCCACTGGCTACCACTCTCCAGTGGATACCATGCCAGAAACCCTGGCTTTGGTCCTGCCTCCCTTGCTAGGTCTCCACCCCTCCCCAAATTTTCACTTATTAATTTACTCACTTATTCACCAACAACATCTTTTTTTTTTTTTTTAATTTAATAGGGGTGGGGGCGGTGGGTCTCGCTATGTTGCCTGGGCTGGTCTCAAACTCCTGGCCTCAAGCAATCCTGTGGCCTTGGCCTCCTCCCAGAGTGCTGAGATTACAGGTGTGAACCACTGCAACTGGCCTGCATCTGGAGTACGTATTACCGACCCAGTGTTAGGTACCAGAAATACAAATATGAGTATGGTTGTTCCTGCTGCAAGGAACTCACAGTCTTGGGCAGGAGACTGACCGCTATGCCTTGTTACATCTTTCATTGTCACTGTTTCCTCATTGGTTTATTTAAAGCTAATATGTGGCCTTGTCTCATTAGAGCCACAACCAAGGCACCCTGCAGAGCTGGCTGGCCGTGAGACTCTAAGTGCTTTCCCTTTCAGAGGAAAGGACTGTGTGTGAGTTCCTTCCGCAAAAACATCCACGACCCTGCTACCCTGGCATAAGTTCAAATTCTGGATCTGCCTTTAACTTAACCTCTCTGAATTAGTTTCCTCATCTTTAAAACTGGAATGAGGCCAACTGTGGTGGTGACCGCCTGTAATCTCAGCTGTAATCCTGGGCTCAAACAGGATCACTTGAGCCCAGAAATTCCAGGCTACAATGCACTGTGATCACAACAGTTAAGAGCCACTGCACTCCAGCCTTGGCAACACAGCAAGACCCCATCTTAACAAACAAACAAATCTGGAATGATATTTATTAACTGACAGTTATTTTGAGAACCAAATGAGATAACAGCAAACACATATTTAAAATAATTTTTAAAATAAAAAATTAAATAAATTTAAATATTTTTAAACTTAAGGAACTCATATAAAATAATAGCTAACACATATTAACCTCTATGTGCCAGTAGTCATAAATGCTTTGCATATATTAAGTTATCAAACCATCAACCAACTTATTTAAAGGTTAAATTATTATTTTAATTTTACAGATGAAGAAACAGGCAAGTAGACTTTAAGGAACTTATCAAAGATCACACAACAGGTTAAGTGGCAGAGTCATAATTAAAATCAAGGAGGTCTGATTCCAGATTCTACATGTTAACAACTATCCTATACTTCCCTGCCTGATTTTATATATATTATATAATGTAAATACACATTTTAAACTATTTAGGAGAGCCTGGTACATAGTAGGTGCTAAATAGAAGTTTCCTCCTCTCATCCATGTTTACAACACACTTGCCAACCTGGCAAAGGAAGTCACTAACAGGTGCTATCCATAACAATTCAATCTGCAAGAAATTTTTATAGACAAAAAAAGCTGTGATAACTTGTATGGAGAACAGCCATCAAATCTTCCCTGACTACGAGCTCAATACGTATTGGTATTGATGACAACTCCTAAGACATGCATGCAGTCTGAGAATGAAGGGAAATGCTGCTGTAATCAAACAGGACAACCATCTTACTGTATTCCACCTGGCCAGGCCTCCTAAGCACTTGAGAGAAGAATGACAGGAATGCAAAGGACATAGCAACCACTCCACTTGAGATACAACCAAAAGAACCCAGGGACTTTGCTCACAGAGTACATAAGGAATAAAGTTTGAGAGCATCTTTGTCAAAGACATGACCAACATGATAGAAAGGGAGACTGGACTAAATTTTTTTTTTTTTTTTGGAGGCAGAGTCTCACTCTGTTGCCCAGGCTGAAGTGCAGTGGTACAACCTCAGCTCACTGCCTCCTGGGCTCCAGGCAATCCTCCCACCTCAGCCTCCTGAGTAGCTGGGACCACAAGCACGTGTCACCAAGCCTGGCTAATTTTGTATTTTCTGTTGAGATGGGGTTTGCCATGTTGCCCAGACTGATCTCGAACTCCTGGACTCAAGCAATCCACCCGCCTAAACCTCCCAAAGTGTTGGGATTACAGGCGTGAGCCACCACCGCCTGGCCCTAGACTAAATAATCTACGTTATCCCTTCCAATGCTGGAGTCCTATGGAAACAGTGTTCTTGCCGTTGAATTATTAATTTATTCCCTAAATGTTTATTAAGTGTCTGTGCTATGCATGATTCTGTATTAGATACCAAGAATACACTGTTCAGAGCCAAACAGGCCCAGCCTTCATGAAGTTCAGAGTCCTTAAACAAAACAATTAAGATACTCAAGACACCAAACAAGAAAACACAAATGATACACAATCATAACTCATGATAAGTGCAAAGGAAGAAAAGTGCCAGGTCCTGAAGGAATAGGGGCAGTGACCCCCCTCTAATCTAGATGAAGCGGAAAGGGAAGCAATGCTGAGAAGTGACCTTTAAGTTGAGATCTGAAAAATAGAGTCAGTCAGGCAAAGAAAGACGGGAAGTTCTAAGCACAGGGAACACCGTGGGCAAAGATCTTGAGGGAGAGAAAAGCAAAGAGAGAACAATGTCTGAAATGTTGAGAATAAGAGATAGTGTAGTGGGAGATGAGGGTGAAGAGGCAGAGAAGACAAAGACCAGATCAGGCAAGGGCATATGAAGGACTTGGGATTTAAGCCTAAGTGGGCATCATCTGACTTCTACGTAATGGACTGGAGGGGATAATAGCAAAAGCAAACAGATGAGTAAGCAGAATATTGTGGAAATTTAGGAGAATGACAATGGTGGTTAAGATTAGGGCAGAATCCGTGTGCAGATGGATGAATTAAAAAAAAAAAGAATAGGGTGGCAGTGGTATAGTGGATGGACTCATGCTATACTTCAAAAATAATTTTTGGCTGGGTACGTGGCTCACACCTGTAATCTCAGCACTTTGGAAGGCTGAGGTGGGAGAATCACTTGAGGTCTGGAGTTAACACCAGCCTGGGAAACACTGCAAGACCTCATCTGTACAAAAAACTTAAAAAAATTAGCTGGGCATGGTGGTGCATACCTGTAGTCCCAGACACTAGGGAGGCTGAGGTGGGAGGATCTCTTCAGCCCAGGAGTTCAAGGCTGCAGTGAACTTTGATTATGCCACTGCACTCCAGCCTGGGCAACAGAGCGAGACCTTGTCTCAAAACAAAACAAAACAAAACTCAGTGGTACTTAGCAATGGATTAAATGTAGGGTAAGGGAAAGTGAGGCGTCAAAGAAGATTCCCACATCTGTGGCATGAACAGTTATTGAAATGGGAATGAGTGATTTTGACAGGAGTGAAGAGATCAAAGGTTCAAATTTAGAGATCTGAGATTACCCAAAGGGAATGTCTAACGGGCATTTGGTTCTGAAACTTAAAGGACACATTTGGGGCTGAACATACAAATCGGTTATGCTAAAAGAACGGTAATATTCAGCTATGACTCTGGAGATGGCCTTCCAAGAGAGTGAAAAGAGGGGAGGGCCCCAGAACACCATTCGTCTAAAAACTGCATTAATAAAGGCGTTAACACCACATACACTGATGTGGTATTCACTGATAAAATAATAAATATAAATAATTTTTAAAAATCAGCTCCAGTATTTATTTGCTGTGTGATTTTGGGGAATTACTTAAGCTATCCAGGTCTCGGTTTCCTTCACCACAAAATGGGGATATTACTAACTCAAAAGAGTTAGTAATATTACATCTCAGTAAACATTTCAACAAACAGATGTAATTATTAATAACTGAGCACTTCTCCTTTGTCTCATATTAACTGTTTCTACAATCACATAGCAAAATATTAACCTTATTTTTCAACAATTCTTTTTTTTTTTTTGAGACAGAGTTTCACTCTTGTTGCCCAGGCTGCAGTGCAATGGCGCCATCTCAGCTCACCGCAACCTCTGCCTCCAGGGTTCAAGCGATTCTCCCGCCTCAGCATCCCGAGTAGCTGAGATTACAGGCATGCGCCATCACGCCCAGCTAATTTTTGTATTATTAGTAGAGATGGAGTTTCTCCATGTTGGTCAGGCTGGTCTCGAACTCCCAACCTCAGGTGATCCTCCCGCCTCTGCCTCCCAAAGTGCTGAGATTACAGGTGTGAGCCACAACGTCCAGCCTTTTTTTTTTTTTTTTTTGAGACAGAGTCTTGCTCTGTAGCCCAGGCTGGACTGCAGTGGTGCAACCTCTGCTCACTGCAACCTTCACCTCCTGGGTTCAAGCAATTCTCCTGCTTCAGCCTCGGAGTAGCTGGGACTACAGGTACGCACCACCACGTCCAGCTAATTTTTCTATTTTCAGTATAGACAGGGTTTCACCATGTTGGCCAGGCTGGTCTTGAACTCCTGGACCTCAGGCGATCTGTCCACCTCGGCCTCTCAAAGTGCTGGGATTACAGGTGTGAGCCACCGTGCCTGGCCACAATCATTCTTAAAATTATGTAATTGTAATATCTAACGATAAAATATATTTTTTAAATTCCTAAATGATTCATCGGAATTTTTACATTAAAAATATCTAATCTTGCAAAGTGAAGAATATAAGGAGATGCAGATATTTGACATGCTGCATAATCAAAATTTTTTAATCATGCTGCCATTTAAAAGCTATTGAATAGTTAGACGAAATGGGCATCTAAATAAATTTACTTCCCCTTGCTATATACACAGACTGGTACTGTTTCTTTTCAGGAAAATAACATTAAGGCAGAATTACTCAAATATAAATAATTTCTTTTTTAAGTAAAAGATTTTAAAACTCCTCAAACAGCAAGACAACTGAACCAACAGTTCAATTGGAACTTAAAAAAAAAAAAACACAGGAAAAGGCTGAAGTCAGTTGAAAAAACAGACTACAGAGTAAAGTCATTCCTTCCTCTTCCTGTTAAGCCCCCCACCGTTGATTTTCACTTTCTAGTAGAGAAGTTTGGGAATTTCCAACAAGCTGGCCAGCAGCCAATTCCATAAAATAGCAAGGAGAAAACTCTCCTTTCCAGGGGTCCCTCCCCGCCAGGCAGCTCCAGGCGCCGGGTCTGACAAGCTTTCTGAGAAGGAATAGACTCACTGCAGACTTCCTGGCTCCAAGGCCATTGTTCGCATGGCTGCTCTGCTCCTTATCCAGGGCCTGGATTAGCATAAGAATATCATCTTTTCCCTTAACAAGCAACTCATCCATTCCTTCCCGTTCTCTACACTCCTCCCCATCAATCCTTAGAGGAATACACACTTGTACAACTGGAGCAACACCACTCGCAGTTATTTACATCAGTGTAGAAAACAATATCCCGCAAATCTAAACATAAACCCTGAAGAAAATAACTTGCTTAAAGAGTTGTCTGAGTGTATCTGAGGTAATACACAGAAATCTTACCGAAATGCCTGCCTTGGTGTCCACGCTGTCAGATCTTGCTATGGGTAAGACATTCATAACAGGGTGTTTTAGAAAGTTTTACAATAATGCCCGTGGGCCAGGAGCAAAGAGAGCCAACCATGCAACTAAGTGAAGACCTAAAACAGGGATGGGGAAGTTCCACTGTATAAAACTTCCACTGTCATGTCTCCACCACTTTGAAGTTACCAATTTCATCGCCACCCCTGAAATTACTTTCCAACTCTACCTTTCCCCCATGCTCAATTATTAATTAACAATCAAAACAAGCCCACATTTAACCTTTGTATTTCTGCTCAACTGTCCCTGCCCCACTCAAAACCTTCACTTTCCTTCTATGCCAAGATAGTTTCCCCAACACAAGTATAAACTCTTCCAGGACCACAGAATCAAGACAATCTAGTATAGCATTATATATAGTTGATGCTGTGTGTTTTATACCCTTCACCAGGACCTCAACATTAGATGCAGAAGAAATGCTTCCAGGTTTCTGAAACATTTTTCAAATAGATAATCTGTTTTCAAAACATCATTCAACCTTGTACTACAAATTCCCTAACCTAGTTTCTCCAAAGCTTTTTTGTTTAACTGTATTCAACAACAACAACAAAAGTCTCACAATTACAACTAGATTGTACTACACAGCAATCTTTGGCATATCTGTACTTCGAAGAGATTCGTAATGTCTGTCAGCTGTCTATTTAAGAGACCTAGGTGTCACTCTTCTGTTTCTCCTCTAGAACACGCAGAAATGACCAAAAACAGGCGAAGTGAATCAGTTATTGCAGAACTGTCTGGAAAGGGAGAGGGTCTGGTCACCCCATAGGCATACAATGGGTACAAGTTGACTACTCCTTATTAGAAATGCTTGGGACCAGAAGTGTTTTGGATTTTGGATTTTTAAATTTGTAATATTTGCACTATCTATACTTACTGGTTCAGCAACTCAAATCCAAAACACCTAATGAGCATTTCCTTTGAGCGTCATGTCAACACTCAAAAACTTCAGGTTTTACAGCATTTCAGATTTCAGATTTTTGGATTAGGGATGCTCAACCTTTACTGGTAAATTGAATAGAGAAAAAAACAGTTTAATGTGGTGGTAAAGAGTTCAGAGTCTAGCCTAAAACAGATGATCTAGGTATTTTGTGCAGATTAAATCAGAGAAACTCAGATATGTGGTGGTATTTAATGGTACCTGCTTAGCATCCCATTGTCACTGTCATTTTTATAACTTACAAATTAGTTTTACGTGCATTATCCCATCTCTGTGATCCTTACAGTAAGTAAAATCATTCCTACTTACAGAGAAAAGATAGGTTCAAGGAGATAAATAACTTGCTGAATTCCATGTAGCTAGTATATATGACAAACTAACACCCAGGTTTTCTAATCCAAAGTGCAGTGTTTTGTCGGGTATACCATGAGCACATATGTTAAACAGGAAACTGGAAGTTATTTTTTACTGAACCCTGTAAGATCTTTTTTCATCTTCATAACTCTGAAAAAAAAAAAAATGAAGCGCAAAGAAACTTGCCTGAGTTGGCCGGGCATGGTGGCTCACGAGGTCAGGCGTTCGAGACCAGCCTGGCCAACATAGTAAAACCCTGTCTCTACTAAAAATACAAAAAATTAGCCAGGCGTGGTGGCAGGCACCTGCAAACCCAGCTACTCAGGAGGCTGAGGCAGAAGAATCACTTGAACCCAGGAGGTAGAAATTGCAGTGAGCCAAGATCACACCACTGCACTCCAGCTCAGGTGACAGTGCGAGACTCCATCTCAAAAAAAAAAAAAAAAAAAAAAAAAAAGAAAGAAACTTGCCCAACTTAACACAACCAGTAAGTGGCAGGTTTGCTGCTGACAAAGCCCAAATTCCACTTGTTACTGCATGTTAAGGCGCTGGCAGGAAAGTAATGAGATTAAAAAACAGAAAGTACTGTGTCCCTTTTTACACTATCGCTTTTCAGCCAAAAAAAAAAAAAAAAAGCTCCCTCTTCTATCTATAGATTCTGCTTTCTGATGCTGGAGCTGGGATGCTGCTGACAATATGTCCTTCACCAGCTGGTTCCTGGAGAGGCTCTGCCAACTGGGGAACTAGAGAAAGCTGGAAGAGGGGAGAAGGGACTTTCTTTTTCCCAATTTGGTTCGCTGTTCCTGTCAGTTGCCTGAATGCCACTGGCATTCAATTGGCAGCAGCAATCTACACTCTCTGCTTCCTTCCACACTCCCAGAACCAACCCCATGGAATCCTTTTAGGCCCAGTGGTGCCTACTACTCAGGATCTCAGTCCCAGCTCCTCAAAAACCCAGCTTTGCACTCCCCTCAGGCATCAGCAGTGGCTGGGTTACCACCCCCTCCTAAGAGGATCTAAAAATATGTAGGTGACTTTTTGGTTGGAATAATGTCTGGGATATGACAGGACATACAGTTTGACCAGGGACCAGGATAGAAAATGCAATGTGCAGGGACAATCCTTCAAAATAAAGAACCAAATGCTAACAGTACTCTCCTTGTTGAGAAATACTGGTTCTTTTTTTGTGGGGGCAGGGGAAGATAATTTCTTTTTGTCAACTCAATTTGTAGAGAAACACTGATTCTTGCCTAGTTTCATGTGCGTCTGTGTGAAGAGACCACTAAACAGGCTTTGTGTGAGCAATAAAAGCTTTTAATCACCTGGGTGCAGGCGGGCTGAGTCCTAAAAGAGAGTCAGCGAAGGGAGATGAGGGTGGGGCCGTTTTATAGGATTTGGGTAGATAAAGGAAAATTACAGTCAAAGAGGAGTTGTTCTCTGGCGGGCAGAGTGGGGGTCGCAAGGTGCTCAGTGGGGGAGCTTTTTGAGCCAGGATGAGCCAGGAAAAGGACTTTCACAAGGTAATGTCATCACTTAAGGCAAGGACTGGCCATTTTCACTTCTTTTGTGGTGGAATATCATCAGTTAAGGCAAGGACTGGCCATTTTCACTTCTTTTGTGGTGGAATGTCATCAGTTAAGGCATGGACCGGCCATTTACACTTCTTTTGTGGTGGAATGTCATCAGTTAAGGTGGGGCAGGGCATATTCATTCTTTTGTGATTCTTCAGTTACTTCAGGCCATCTGGGCGTATATGTGCAAGTCACAGGGGATACGATGGCTCGGCTTGGGCTCAGAGGCCTGACATTCCCGCCTTCTTATATTAATAGGAAAAATAAAACAAAATAGTGTTGAAGTGTTGGGGCGGCGAAAATTTTTGGGGGGTGGTATGGAGAGAGAATGGGCGGTGTTTCTCAGGGCTGCTTCAAGCGGGATTAGGGGCGGCGTGGGAACCTAGAGTGGGAGAGATTAAGCTGAAGGGAGATCTTGTGGTAAGGGGTGATATTGTGGGATTGTTAGAAGAAACATTTGTCGTATAGAATGACTGGTGATGGCCTGGATACGGTTTTGGATGAATTGAGAAACTACAAGGTCCCAATAAAAGAAGTAGAAAAATGGGTATTAAAGGACAGAATTGGGAGACCCAGGACATCCAATTAGAGAGTGCCCAAGGGGATTCAGCATAATTACTTGCTTGGTTGGCAAGTTTTTGGGCTCTATCCTTGAGTTTTTTTATGTTGTCATACACTAGGCCAGATTGATTTAGGTAAAAACAACACTCTTCATTTAAGAATATACAGAGTCCTCCTTTTTCAGCAGTGAGTAAGTCAAGGCCTCGGAGTTGTCCTTGGAGGACAACTGCAGCTGAAGAGTCAACTAGGGCCTGGAGGACTGATAAAGTTTGTGATATGTCTGTGATGCTAGCAGAGAAGTCATTAGACAGGCTACGGAAGGTCGTGACAGAGGTTGAAATGCCTGTTATTCCAGTACCGAGAGCAATAGTGGAGGCAGAAACTCCTAAACCGACCATCAAGGGAATTAGTGGAATAACTTTTTTTTGTCGTGTCGGTGTCATGAGGGGAACAGGGAGCTCTTCGGTCCCATTTGCAAACTGAATTTTGGGGATAAAGAAAACTAGTGTGCATGTGCCTGTCTAATTAGCAGGTAGACACATGTAGGTAGAGGATCCACAGAGGAAGAAGAGACCTTGTGCGAGGCAAAACTGGAGATGTAAAGTAAAAAGGTGAGAAGGAGTGCTGAAAAGGGTATCATACTTCATTACTATCTAATGGTTCCTTTGTAGTTCCAGCTGGTCAAGTGGCAACACTATTAAATCTCTAAGAAGAAAAATTATCTTGATCAAACTAATGTATGAATACAATTTTACTTTTTTTCCCTTCCCACCTGACTGCTTTAAAAAGGAATTGTTTTGTTAACCATGGTGCTTGTACAATGCAAAAGCAATTTTTAAAAATCAATCATTTCCACTTATGTAACTATTTAAAAATTTTTTTTAATTCAGGGTACAAAGATTTCCCCTAAGATCTCAGGAGTAGAGGCTCTTACACTAAGCATATTCTATCTTCCCTGCCACAAAAAGTTCAGGGGCGAGCTGGTCTAATAGTCTCAGGACTTTGACTGACCCTGCAGTGACAAAGTCACTCTCTCAGACTCAATATGAATAAGGCAGTCCCAGAAACTGCTGGCAGCTATGTTGGGCCCAGAAGGAGAACCAGAAGGCAGAGCCAGGAGACTGAAAGAAGCCAGATCCCGGGAGACATCGATGAGCCACTCAAGCAACCTTGTCTGAAGCCTCAATTACTTTGGAACTCTTAAGAGCCAATAAATTCCATTTTTTAGGTCAGAGAGAGTCAATTTTTCTGTTACAACCAAAAATATTCTAGCTAATATAGCTAATATGAGGATTAAAGGGAAAGGCACACTTGAGTATTCTGGGTTAGATTAGCATAAAATTAGCAATTCTGAATAAAGGCAAATAAATGTCTTACCAGAAAAGATACTTGATAACATCTGAAAAGAAAACACAGGCTGCTATAAGTGCTATTTTTAAGACAGCTAAGGCCCGCACAGTGGCTCTCGTCTGTAATCCCAGCACTTTGGGAGGCTGAGGCAGGCAGATCACTTGAGGCGGGGAGTTCAAGACCAGCCTGGCTAACATAGTGAAACCCCATCTCTACTAAAAATACAGAAATTAGCCAGGCCTGGTGGTGGGTGCCTGTAATCCCAGCTACTTGAGGCCGAGGTAGGAGAACTGCTTGAACCTGGGAGGTAGAGGTTGCAGTGAGCTGAGACTGTGCCACTGCATTCCAGCCTGGGCGACAAAGCGAGACTGTCTCAGAGGGGGAAAAAAAAAAAAAGGCAGCTCAAATAGTATAAATATTGACTTAACAATGTTATCAGCAACTATACAATTTGTCACTATTTATCTTTCCTTGCCTCTTCCCTCCCAAATTTGCTAGATCCTAAGTCTTTCCCACCTCCGTTGACAGCCTCTTTACTTGGTGTAAAATCTTAAAAGTCCCAGGTCTAAAATCTTTTTTTTTTTATTTTTAGAATATCGCTACACTGATGTAACCAGGCCTAAAATCTCAAGTCATTCTTGACAACTCCCTCTTTCCTTCTTGCATTCCATTTCCTGTCATCAAATCCACTGGTTGTACCTGCAGAATCTGTCCAGAACCCACACACTTCCTACTACCTCCACTGCTCGCTCTGGACCAAGCCACTAACCCCTTTGCCTGGATTGCTGAAGGCACCTCCTAACTGGCCTCCTGCTTCCACCTGTGCCCACTATGGATTTGCAACACAGCAGCCAGAGTGATCCTAAGAGAAAGCATGTTAAACCACATCACACCCCATTCAGATCCCTCCAACGGTGCTCCAACTCACTCAGACAAAAAGCTAAAGTCTCCAGTGGTCCACCCTCCCTCCGTTCCAGCCTAATAGGTGTTCCTTGCACCTGCCGCTCACAGTCCTGCTGCAGGACCCTGGCACGTGCAGATCCCTATGCCTGTAATGGTCTTCCCCGGGACTGCTGCCTTGCCCCTTCCAAGCACTTACTCAAAATCCCTTTCTTATTTACAGGCTTCCTGCCCACCCTATTTAAAACTGTAATCCCATCCCCATGCCTAGCACTCCTCTCCTTTCTGGCTGTTTCTTTCTCTTTAGCATTTGTCATGCTATATAATTTGATATAATTTTTCTGTATTTTATTGCCTGCCACCTGCTCTAGAATATATGCTCCATGAGGCCAGGAGGGTTAGTCTGTTTCACTCACTTTATATTTTTAGCACCTGGAACAGTGCCTGGCACAGAGTCGATACTAAATAAATATTTATTGAGGGAATGACTGAATGGAGCAGAAGAAATTAAAACATTATGCCAATTCCTTTCACTTTTATATACAAACCAGACTTTCCCAAAAGAGCAGTACAGTGGATAAACTATCCCATTTCCCTATCTCAACACAACTGAAATGATATAAAAACCACACCACTTCCTTTTGCTCACTTCCATCCCTGACTTGTGTCAAGATCCGGTGAGGAAAAAGTTTCCGCTGTTTTCATGGATATCCTCAAGTTTGAGATATAAATTAAAAGGGCTTAAGAAAGGCTTGTATAAGTAAACACCACATCCCCAAATCTAAAATGTCTAAAATGTTGCTTAAGGCAAACAATGGCTTGGGTTATGCTTTTACAGTACCACATGTTATACCAAGTTAAATAAGTATGGAAATAATTACAGACAAAAAGAAAATGAAGTCTTTCTTTGGGTACAAACAATGTGGTCTGACAAAGGGAACTTCAAAGCATGATCTAAATTCAACTGCAATCTTTCAGTACATAAACAACACACTGAAGGTTCAAAGGTAGTATGTGTACGTAAAATTTAAGTCTCTAACTGCCCTGAATAAGGGCAGAGGGTGTTAAAATAGATTTTTAACAATTCTTCCCTGACAAGCATGACCAAAAAAGGACAGCATAGAAAACTAAAATCTTACAAACCCATAGGTTTAAGAAAGAACTCCCTCAAGATGACAGATTCCTGCTGTATGCACGTGAAGCTCAAGAACTTGGGAACCTAGAAGAGTTCCCCGCCTTGGGAATGAAATATCTGTACTTTATTTTCTTTATTCTGCGTTACAACATCTTTTCAGGTTGAAATGTACTGGTTTAGGGTGTTGTAAGAAGTTCTAGGCCAGGCGCGGTGGCTCACGCCTGTAATCCCAGCACTTTGGGAGGCCAAGGATGGCGGATCACAAGGTCAGGAGATTGAGACCATCCTGGCTAACATGGTGAAACCCTGTCTCTACTAAAAATACAAAACATTAGCCGGGCGTGGTGGCGGGCGCCTGTAGTCCCAGCTACTGGGGAGGCTGAGGCAGGAGAATGGCATGAACCCGGGAGGTGGAGCTTGCAGTGAGCCGAGATCATGCCACTGCACTCCAGCCTGGGCGGCAGAGCGAGACTCCGCCTCAAAAAAAAAAAAAAAAAAGTTCTATGGCATGAAATGGATTTGACATTTACTTGTCCCTGCTTTCCTTTTAGCATCTTTTTTTTTTTTTTTGATATGGAGTCTCATTCTGTTGCCCAGGCTGTAGTGCAATGGCACAATCTCGGGTCACTGCAACCTCCGCCTCCCAGGTTCAAGCAATTCTCCTGCCTCAGCCTCCCGAGTAGCTGGGACTACAGGCACATGCCACCACACTTGGCCAATTTTTGTATTTTTAGTAGAGACAGGGTTTTGCCATGTTGGCTAGGATGGTCTCGAACTCTTGATCTCGGGTGATCCACCAGCTTCGGCCTCCCAAACTGCTGGAATTACAGGTGTGAGTCATGGCGCCCAGCCCCGTTTAGCATTTTTCTTTAAGCCCAGGTACCTTTCTGATTTTTTCCTGGGATTTCTAGTTTAAACACACATCAACTTGCCTTTTATTTCAAAGAAAGGATTGTTAAGTAACATATAGCATTGCCTTACATATTGTTAAACTTTCTACAGATATATAAAAACTTTACTGTTTTTATATATATAATGCTTTAATTTTGTTCACATAACACTGTGAAGTATTTCCATGATAGATACTTGTAGTTCTTCTTAATTCATTTTCATTGTTATCTAGTGTTTTATCCTATAAATATCTTATGGTCATATTTGCTCATTCTCGTTGATGAACATTTTCTTCTTAGAGATAGGGTCTTGCCATGCTGGTCCAGGCTGGAGTGCAGGAGCTATTCACAGGTGCAATCAGATTGCACTGCTTCGGCCTCCCGAGCAGTCCCAACTACAGGTGCATGCCACAGTGCACAACCATGTTGATGGACATTTTAGATCATTTCCAATAATTTAGTATAAGCAATGCGGCAATAAATAAACTTGAAGAGATGCTTTTGTTGTTGTTTGGGCTGATAAAACTGTAGGCTGGATTTGCAGAAGTGGGATTCTAGGTCTAAGGGAGGTTTTGGTTTTTTTGAACAATACAGGTTGGAACTGCATGGGTCAATTTATATGCAAGTTCTTTTTGTTTTTTGAGACGAGTCTCACTCTGTCGCCCAGGCTGGAGTGCAGTGGCGCAATCTTGGCTCACTGCAACCTCCGCCTCCCAGGTTCAAGAGATTCTCCTGCCTCAGCCTCCCGAGTAGCTGGGACTACAGGCGCATGCCAGCAAGCCTGGTTAATTTTTATATTTTTAGTAGAGATGGCGTTGGCCAGGCTGGTCTCGAACTCCTGACCTCAGGTGATCCACCTGCCTCAGCCTTCCAAAGTGCTGGGATTACAGGCATGAACCACCACTTCCGGTCTCTTCTTTTCAATAAGTATAGCAATCTCTTCATATTGCAGGCAAACATGGGCTGAAAATACAGTATTTAGCTGGGCGCTAATGGCTCACACCTATAACCCCAGCACTTTGAGAGGCCAAGGCAGGAGGATCACTTGAGCCCAGGAGTTTGAGACCAGCCTGGGCAATGTAGTGAGACCCCATCTCTATACTTCAAAAAATAATAATAATAAAAGAAAATAGATGATTCACTTTGTCTTTGGTGCCTTTGTCTTACATTTAAGTCTTTAATCCATTTTGAGTTTATTTTTGTATATGGTGAAAGACAGGGGTACAGTTTCACTCTGCATATGTATATCCAGTTTTCCCAGCACCATTTATTGAAGACTGTCTTTTCCCCAAAGCATGTTCTTGGCGCCTTTGCCAGCTGGCTATAAATATGTGGATTTATTTCTAGGTTCTCTATTCTGTTCAATTGGTCTACTGTCTGGTTTTATGCTAGTACCATGCTGTTTCAGTTACTACAGCTTTGCAGTATATCTTGAAGTCTGGTAGTGTGATGCCTCTAGCTTTGTCCTTTTGGCTCAGAACCGCTTTGGCATTTGCAGTCCTTTATGGTCCTATATTAATTTTAGGATTTTTTTTCTATTTCTATGAAGACTGTCACTGGTATTTTGATAGGGATTGCATTGAATCTATAGCTTGCTTTTGGTAGTATGGTCATTTTCACAGTATTAATTCTTCAAATCCTTGAATATGGATGTCTTTCCATATTTTGTGCCCGCTTCAATTTCCTTCATCAGTGTTTTATAGTTTTCCTTGTAGAGATCTTTCACCTCCTTGGTCAAATGTATTTCATTTTTTGGTAGCTTTTGTAAATGGATTACTCTCTTCTTTTTCTGCTAGTTCATTATTGGTGTATAGAAACACTACTAATTTTTGTATATTGATTTTGTACTCTGCAACCTTACTAAATTCATTTATCAGTTCTAAAAGTTTTATGGTGAAGTTTTTAGGGTTTTCCACATATATATATGATCGTGGCAATTCGACTTCCTCCTTTCCAATTTAGATGCCCTTTATTTCCTTCTCTTGCCTAATTGCTCTAGCTAGGACTTCCAGTCTTCATCTTTCACTATATCATTTTGCAATTCCAAATGTAAAACACTGATATAAACACAATTTTAAAATACTGAAGAACAAAATAATAAGTTTAACAAATAGATGAATCATATTACGTACAGAAAGCTTCAATATAAGGTATGTCAACTGTTCCTAAATTAATTATAAATTTAATGAAAGTCTTTATCACATTAAGGAAGTTCCCTTCCTAGTTTGCTGAGAGGTTTCATCATGGAGTTAAATTTCATCAAGTGCTTTTGCTTCATCTAGTGATATGAGCACAGAGTTTTTCTCCTTCAAAATGTGCAAATGAATTAATAAATTAATACTAATTCATATTAAGAACTTTACTGAATAAACCATCTGTGGTGGTTTTTAAATATGTCCACAAACTCTTTCATACTCTTCTTTTTAAGAGGTGGAAACTAATTCCTTTGAGTATAGGTTAAACTGAGTGACTTCTTCTAACAAACAGGATACAGGAAAAACTACAGGCTTCTGCCTGTAATAACAGCACTTTGGGAGGAACAGGCAGGAGGACTGCTTGAGACCAGGAGTTTGAGACCAGCCTGGTCAACATAGCAAGACCCCATCTCAATTTAATTTAAAAAAAAAAAGAAACGAATAAAGTAATGACTAGGTCTTAAAAGGCACTGCAGCTTTCTCCTTGTTTTTTTTTTTTTTTTGGATCACTAGATCTGGAGAAAGCCAGCTGTCACAGTGTGAGGATACTCGAGCCTATGGGAAGGCCCATAGGGTGAAGAACTGAGGCCTCCTGCCAACCACCATGTGAGTATGCCACATGGAAGTGTATTCTCCCCGAGTCAGGCTTTCAGATGACTGTAGCCCCTGCTGACTTCCTGACTGCAACCTTGTGAAACATAAAGATTAGAACCACATCCAGCTAGGCTACTCCTGAATTCTTGTAAATTAGGGTTTCATGTCATTAAGTTTTGGGATAAACTGTTATGCAGCAATGATAATTAACACACTTATCTTGCATTCCTGGGATAATTTCAATTTGTCATTATTGTATAATAAATAATGTATTCAGTCTTTGACCCTAGTTCTTGGGAGAGAACCTCTAATTCATGGAATTTCCTTGGTAGTAGGAATGCCTTTGTTACTCACGAGCCTCATGGATCATTCCTGAGATTATGCTAACAATTGACTCAGAATGGGGGAGATTATGCTAACAAGATGACTCAGAATGGGGTCTGCTCACCAGAAAGGCCACCATGTGTAGAAGGATGGGGTTTGAGCTAGCCAAGCCTCTAAGGAAGAAAGGAGAGAACACTGAAAGTTTGAGTTCAATCACATGGCCAATTATTCCATTACACCTACATATAAAATCTACACACACCATAGCTCAGGTAGGCTTCCTCATTGGTGAGCATACTGATGTGTCAAGAGGGTGACATACCCTGATCCCAGGAGAAGAGAGCACAGAAGCTCCATGTTAGGAACCCTCCCAGTACCCTGTATCTCATTTGGCTGGTCCTGATCTGTATTCTTCATAATTAAAGTGTAACTTAAGTATACCACTTTCCCAAGTTCAGTCAGTTAATTTATAAATTATCAAACTTGAGGGGATTCATGGGAACCCCCAGATTTGCAGCCAGTTAATCGGAATAACAGGTGGTCTGGGGACCACCAAACTTTTAACTTGTACTCGCAGCAAGGGCAGTCTCGTTGGGAACTGCACCCTTAAACCTGTGGAGTTTCATGCTAACTCTGTCAGAACTGTATTACAGTCAGCATTGTAGACATGAGATATATACATATAAAATATTTAAACATAATACTGGACTTCTTTTGCTCCTATCTTGTTAGATTTTACACAAGCAAGACTGGTCTATAATTTATTTCATATTAGCCATGCTTGGTTTTGGTACCAAAGTTATACTAGTCACAATAAACTGAGGAACTTTCCTTAATTTGCTATTCTCTGGAATGGCATGTGTAAATCTGGACATACCTACGACATGGACAGTTTAAAAGAATTCACCCTTAAGATAACGTGGGCCAGGTAGGGAGATGGTGCCTCGGGGCGAGACTCTGGAGCTGGTCCAGACCCGCAGACTACTCTCTCCCATGGCTGACTGCCCTGGGCTGCAGAGGGCCAGGGCTCCCACCATTCTCGAAATGCCACAGGTACTAAACAGACAAGTACTTTGAAACAAGAAGATGCTTCTAAAAGGGGAAGTTCATTACACCTGCTCACTACAACGATGTAGTGAATGAACATTCTATTGTCAAACTCTGTGGTTATCCTTTATGTCACAAGAAGCTGGGAATTAAATATAAAATTTCAAAACCAATAAAGTCTATGATATTACTGAAAGAAAGTCTTTTTGCAGCAATTTTTGTTATGAAGCATCTGAGTTTTTTGAAGCACAAATTCCCAAAACTCCAGTACGGTGAGAGGCATCCAGATTTTCAACTGCTAAAGGAAGGGCAAAGTGGCCATTCTGGAAAAGAAATAGTTATGCAGTAAAGCCATTAAAACATCAGATATCAACAATCCTAGCCAGTTTGAAAAGCAATATGAATCTTCTAGCAATTGTTCTTCCAGCACTCATAATGACAGCAGCAGTGATAATGAGCAAGACTTTGTTTCCTCCATTCTACCAGGAAACAGACCAAATTCAACAAGTATTAGACGACAGCTGCACCAAAAAAGCATAATGAAAAAGAAAGCTGGTCTCAAAGCTAATGCCAAACACAAAGAACAGACAGTAGTGGATGTCACTGAGCAGTTAGGCAATTGCAAATTAGATACTCAGGAGAAAGCTGCCACATGTGAACTTCCTTTACAGAAAGTAAATACTCAAGAGTTCTTCAAATAGTACTTTTTTGAAAAGTACTATTTCAAAAAATAGAAATACTATTTTCAAAAAATAGAAATACTATTTCAAAAAATAGTACTATTTCCTGAAAGATTATAGCTTCAGAAAATTCTGAAAGTAAATACAGTAGGTCAGAAATAACTCTAATAGGCATAAGAAAAGTATGGAGCATTTTAACAGAAAATTTGCCAAATCAAACCAAGTTTCTAAGTCAGTGTCTAGTTCAGTGCAGGTGTGTCCTGAAGTGGCAAATAGAAACTTACTTAAAGTTTTGAAGGAGACTTTGATTGGGTGGAAGACAGAAGAAACTGAGGTTTTTGTATGGCCAGAATTATGCTTCTGTGTGTCTGAAACCTGAAGCCTCTCTGGTTAAAAAACTTAGCGACGCAGGGTGTGGTGGCTCACGCCTGTAATCCCAGCAGGTTGATCACCTGATGTCAGGAGTTCGAGACCTGATGTGAAACCCTGTCTCTACTAAAAATACAATAATTAGCTGGGCGTGGAGGCAGGTGCCTGTAATCCCAGCTACTTGGGAGGCTGAGGAGAACTGCTTGAACCCAAGCAGCTGAGGTTGCAGGGAGTGGAGGTTGCACCACTGCATCCCAGCCTGGGCAACAGAGGGAGACTCTGTCTCAAAAAGAAAAAAAAAAAAAAAGAAAAAGAAAAAAAAAGAACTTAATGACATAATCTCAGACCCAGATAGTCATTCCCCTGCCTGGAGGGAGTCTCAACAGCTTGGAAGAGTCTTTACCTTTTAGGTGCTCAGATACAGCCATTAAACCACTGATGAGAACTTGGAAAAAGAAACTGAAAAGTTAAATCTGAGGATCAGGGAGTTTTATAGAGGATGATACGTTTTGGATGAAGAAACCACCAAATCACAAGACTCAGAAGGGATACGTCTTAAAGACAATGAGCTTTTCCAGGTCGTTAACATTTGGAAAACTCATCATAGCAAATCTTGGAGCAGGAAGTGTTGCGGGAAGTCAGGGACCCCAAACGGAGGGACTGGCTAAAGCCATGGCAGAAGAACATGGATTGTGAAGATTTCATGGACATTTATTAGTTCCCCAAATTAATACTTTTGTAATTTCTTATGCCTGTCTTTACTGCAGTCTCTAAACACAAATTGTGAAGATTTCATGGACACTTATCACTTCCTCAATCAATACCCTTGTGATTTCCTATGCTTGTCTTTACTTTAATCTCTTAATCCTGTCAGCTGAGGAGGATGTATGTCACCTCAGGACCCTGTAATAATTGCGTTAACTGCACAAATTGTAGAGCACGTGTGTTTGAACAATATGAAATCTGGGCACCTTGAAAAAAGAACAGGGTAACAGCAATGTTCAGGGAATAAGAGAGAGAACCTTAAACTCTGACCGCCGGTGAGCCGGGCGGAACAGAGCCATATTGCTCTTCTTTCAAAAGCAAATAGGAGAAATATTGCTGAATTCTTTTTCTCAGCAAGGAACATCCCTGGGAAAGAGAATGTGCCCCTGAGGGTGGGCCTCTGAAATGGTCCCCTTGGGTGTGGCCGTCTTCTATGGTCGAGACTGTAGGGATGAAATAAGCCCTAGTCTCCCATAGCGCTCCCAGGCTTATTAGGACAAGGAAATTCCCGCCTAATAAATTTTGGTCAGACTGGTTGCTCTCAAACCCTGTCTCCTGATAAGATGTTATCAATGACAATGGTGCCCGAAACTTCATTAGCAATTTTAATTTCGCCCCGTCCTGTGGTCCTGTGATCTCGCCCTGCCTCCATTTGCCTTGTGATATTCTATTACCTTGTGAAGCACGTGATCTCTGTGACCCACACCTATTTGCACACTCCCTCCCCTTTTGAAAATCACTAATAAAAAATTGCTGGTTTCACGGCTTGTGGGGCATCACGGAATCTACCGACATGTGATGTCTCCCCCGGACGCCCAGCTTTAAAATTTCTCTCTTTTGTACTCTGTCCCTTTATTTCTCTAACCAGCCAACACTTACGGAAAATAGAAAAGAACCTACATGACTATCGGGGCAGGTTCCCCAATAAGGAAGGATAATGAAGAGATAATTGTTAAATTTTCAGTAGTTTCTTTAGTCATTGTGCCTTTTGGTTTACAGTGCCATCTCCACAGTTGGCATTACTATTTTACAGATAAGTTGAAATTTGCCCCTAGTAAATTTTCATAAATGTGCAGTATTTTTTCTAATGTAAAAATAGCCTAAAATGGTGGGACAAAGTTTTCACTAATTCTTCATATAATAAATGAAGTCTCTGAAGAGGCCTGTTTTTTTTTTTCTTAGAAAAAAAGATCATCTGGGCCAAAGGCTTATCTCTGAATATATGAAAGTGGGTGGTTCTTTTAATTACAAATCCAATTTCTCTAACAGTTACAGAAATATCCAGGTTTTCTATTTACTCTGTGTCAATTTTCATTGTTATAATTTTCTAGAAAATTGACGTTTAAATTGTAAAATTTATTGGTATAAAGTGATTCAAGATATTTTATTTTTAAGACTTTCTTCTGTATCTTCCTTTTATATCCTCAGTATTATTTGTACTTTATATTTTTTCTTGATCAATCTTTCAAATAGTTTATTAGCCTTTCATAAAAAACAACTTTCAGCTCTGTTAATCCTCTTCAATGTATCTTTTTTTAAAAAATTCATCATTTCAAGCCCCAATTCTATCACATTTATTAGCTAGAGGCTTGGATAAGTTTCTCTCTGTGCCTAAGTTTCCTCTTGTGTAAAGTGCACATAATAACAATACCCTCCTCATATGGCTTTGTGAAGATTAAATGAGATAACCTTTGTAAAGAACATGGAACGGTGCTTGGAATAGAGTAAGAACTCTAGAATTGTTAGCTTTTATCTGTATTCTCTATTTTACTTCACTTGAATTTACTGCCATGCTCTTTCCCTAACTTAGATTAGCTTATTAGTATTAAAATCTTCTTTTCAAATATGAATATTTAAGGCTTCAGGGTTTCACACACGTTTTAATATGTCCTAAGTTTCTTTTTCTTTGAAATAAGGTCTTGCGCTCTGTAGTCCAGGCTAGAGTGTAATGGTGTTATCATGGCTCACTGCAGACTCAACTTTGCAGGCTCAAGTAATCCTCCCATCTCAGCTTTCTGAGTAGGGGCTACAGGGGGACACCACTGTGCCGGGCTAATTTTTATTTTTTTTTGTAGACGCAGGGTCTCACTATTTTGCTCAGGCTGTTATTTTCTCTATTGTTTTGTTCTAGGTGTTCACTAAATTGATTATTTTATATTTAATCTGTGGGATTTACAGAAGTGTGTTTTTAAATTTCCCAATGTGTACAGTTTGTTATTCACTTCCTACATGCTTTCTCGCCAGAAAACATGGTTGATTTTATTTGAAATGTATAAGAACTTGCTGTATAGCCTAGTAAATGGTCACTTTCATAAAACACTCCACGTGTGCTTGAAAGAACTTTTTTTTTTTTTTAACAGTTGTGAGGGGTATTTCAGACTTTTCTTTTTTAAAGGCAAGGTCTTGCTCTGTTGCCCAGGCTGGACTGCAGTGATGTGATCACTGCTCACTGCAGCTTCCAGCTCCTGGGCTCAAGCCATCCTCCTGCCTCAGCTTGTCCAGTACAGGCATCTGTCACCATGCCTAGCTCGGACTAACTTCTAAAACCAAATGACCTTGCCATTCTCTCTGCTTAAAAACCTAAAAAATATCCTCATTTCATACGATAAAATTAGTAACGCAAGACTTTTTGTCATCTGACAACTGCTGAGACCTCTACTACTCTCCTCCCCTCTCCTCCATACCCTTACGATGCTCCAACTCTACCAAAGTCAGTGCAGCCGCTCTCCCTTCACAGGCACTCCTTCCAGGCTTCCATTACTCTGCACAGCTTTTGTGTCTTCGTTGTTCTTTGCCAGAGTAACTACAATGTTCTCTTCAGGACTTGATCTGCGAGTTCCCTTGTGTATGCAATCCTCAATCCCAACTCATTAGGCTGCTTGAGGAGTCCCGTTCAACTTCCAGTACACCCCGCACACATCACAGCTGCTTTGCAGATCTTGAGCAATGTTCACTCAAAAATGACTTAATGATGACTTGGTTATGTGCCATGTAGTGACTATCCAACGGTAAATAAAAGAGACATGATTCCTCCTCTTATAAAGCTTAGTCAGCTGATTTTTTTACTTATCTTGCAGCAATGTAATTGCCACTGTCTAGCACATTTCTAAACAAAGGAATAAAAATGTTCAATAAATAAATTTAAGAAATAAAAAATAGTAATAACTTGCTAAGGGCAATATATTTGGGGAATTAAACCAACCATAAAACCATAAAATGCACTCTAACAGTTCTTTGTAAGTATAATGGCATCTAAAAATATATCTCTAGATCTTACAGTAACGGCCAGTTACTACTGACAGTGCTAGCTCAAGAACTTCGTTCCCAAAATCACCATCCTTTTGTGATTTCTAGACATCAGAGAACAGAAATTTAGACTCACATCATAAAATGGAGGACCTGAATATACTTAAAACCTCTTCTTTCCAAAATATTTCTGGTTTATTTCATATTTTGAATTAGCTTAAAACTTTCAACTATCATGAATAGTTCAGCGCTAAGTTTACCGGTTTTTTATATTATGACATAAGAAATCTAATAATATAAAGCTGTATTCATAATTCTTTCTCATATTGGTACTGAACAATGCACCTACTTTATGTAAAAACAGGCTTATATTTCCTGAACATATAAGGGCTGTCTTTAAAAATTATCACCTCAAAAAGGAGAACTTTAGGCCAGGTGTGGTGGCTCATGCCTGTAATCCATCTCAGCACTTTAGGAGGCTGAGGCAGGAGGATCACTTGAGCCCAGGAGTTCAAGGCTGTGGTGAGTCATGATCATGCCACTGCACTCCAGCCTGGGCAACAGAGCAAGACCCTGTCTCAAAACAACAACAACAACAACAAAACTTTGAGCTAAATTAAAGGACTAGTTCTAAAGACTAGGAAATGTTAAAATGGGTTTAAGTAGCCAATCTAGTGAATTACACCCTCACTGGGCAGAGCTGGCTAGCTTGCAAGCTGGCTAGAAATGCAGAATCCCAGACCGTGCTGAATTAGAATCTTCTAACAAGACCCCCAGGTGACATGCGCGTACACTAAATTTGAAAAGCAGTAGATAAGACCACCTTTATTTAGCTGCTTAGTCTACCCTGTTTAATTTAAGCATCCTGGAAATATTCACTTATTGAGCAATGAACTGTTTTTTTTTTTTTGAAATGGAGTCCGCTCTGTCACCCAGGCTGGAGTGCGGTGGCGCTATCTCAGCTCACTGCAACCTCCGCTTCCCAGGTTCAAGCCATTCTCCTGCCTCAGCCTCCCAAGGAGCTGGAATTACTGGCATGCACCACCATGCCTGGCTAATTTTTGTATTTTTAGTAGAGATGGGGTTTCACCATATTGGCCAGGCTGGTCTCAAACTCCTGACCTCAAGTGATCCACCCACCTCGGCCTTCCAAAGTGCTGGGATTACAGGCATGAGCCACTGCACCCGGCCTGAGTAGTGAATTTTTTTTAACTTCCACTCCCCTACTCTCCCCACCCCAAAAGAGAGCAAGATGCTTTCTGGATGCTTCGTAGTATTTACTTACTCACCCAAAATATATTTATTGTTCATACACTGTGTTAGCTGCCATAAACTGTTACTTTTTAAATGGCACAGGTAAACGCTAATAAAATTCAGATGAGGAAAGGAAAGTTAAACTAATATTTACTGAGTGTCTACTATGAGGATGTGATACCTAGGAACAACATTCCCTGGTGTCTATTATTTGCCAGGCATTGTTCTAGATACTGCTCAAAATAACTTTCTGCAATCATGAAAGTCTCTATGTTACTCAATAAAGTAGCCACTAACCATATGTGGCTACTCAGTAGTCAAAATACAAGTGGCTAATGACAACCATATCGGAGAGTGTAGTTCTAGAAGCTTATACTTACTACCTATTTGATTCACTGACCAATCCTGACAAGCCAGTGTAAATGTGGATCTAAGGCACAGAAGTTACTGGTAGACTATCGAAAATGGAATGACTAGTAACAGAGCACAGAAGCTGCAGTTCAAATCCAAAGACATGGGAAGAGAAGATTAATTCTAGGCAATGGGATCAGATAAGCCTTCATCAAAGTGTTGGCATCTAAGCTCACACTTGAATAATGGACAGATTTCAACATACTAGGATGTGAGAGAGGCATTCCAGACTGGGAAATCCAGAGGCAAAAGCACAAAGTCAGAAAAGCATGGTAAAGATAAGGAATAGAGTGAGATCAGTAAGACTGAAAAACAGCATTACTATATAGTTTTATATTTGGTTTATCTTACCAATTACGATTTTTCCTAAAGAACAAAGGAATAAAGAATGATTAAGTGTAGGCAGGAATTAATTCATAAGATTCTCAAATGCTAGTGTAAAGTAGCCTGAACTTTACTCAGCAGACAAGGAGAAATCACTGGAGGTTTCAGAGCAAAGAAGTGAGTGCACCATGGTTTAGAAAAATCACTCTTGAAGCATTACATGGGATGAAAGGGACAGGGTGAGGTAGATAAGCCAAAGGGTAATTACAGTAGTTCACACAAGAAGTAACCATCCCAACCAAGAGGCAATGAGAATAGGGAAGTGGAAGAAAACTATTATAGAGGGGGGGCTGATAAAATTTAGCAACTTCTAGATCTGATAGAAAGCAGAGATGCAGTTGTCATAGGTGGTTCCCAGATTTAAATCCTGGGTTGCTGGAAAAATTACAGACCATCAGGAGACAGAGGTGCAAGAAGCTTTTGAAAATATACAAGCAGCTCTAACTAAGGCTGGGAGAATAAACAAATGTGTTCCTACTGCTCCTAAATCCTCAGAAACAACAGAAAAATGTTTAAAAATAGAAGAATATTATGTGTAACCGAGATGGAAGAATGGGTACCAAAGGCAGGAAGAAAAGGTAGTATGTTAAAAGCAAAAATTATTAAATATATAACAAAAAAGTGGAGTTAATTTATAAAACCAAAATGCTGGCTCTTTGAAAAGACCCATGAAATTATCTAGAAAGTTCAATATCCCTAGGAAGTCTAAGCACAAAAATAAAGAACAAATAAATAATACGAAGTACAAGGAGGCCTACCAAAAATAATTATAAATATTCAAGCATAATAATATTAAATAATAGTTAACACTTAGAGCTCTATAGGCCAGGCACTGTTCTACATACTTCATATGTTAAATTCCTTAATCTTCACACTAACTTTATGAGAGGGATATTCTCATTAGGCATAATTTTATAAGAATAAATCTGAAAATCAAGAATAACTGTATGGACCAGGCGTGGTGGCTCACGCCTGTAATCCCAGCACTTTGGGAGGCCAAGGCAGTTCGGCCTTGAGGTCGGGAGTTCAAGACCAGCCTGACCAACATGATGAAGCCCCATCTCTACTAAAACTACAAAACTTTAGCCAGGTGTGGTGGCAGGCGCCTGTAGTCCCAGCTACTTGGGAGGCTGAGGCAGGAGAATTGCTTGAACCCGGGGGGCGAAGGGTGCAGTGAGCCAAGATGGCACCACTGTACTCCAACTTGGGCGACAGATGGAGACTCTATCTCAAAAAAAAAAAAAAGTATCATTTTCTATAAAGATATTAATACAAAAATTAACTCAACAGGGAATGGAATACACAAACAGACCAATAACCTAAGAAACAGAGGTCCCCAAGATGGCAGTGGGATGGAGGGCAAGGAGGGTGGTGAGGAGGGCAATGGGGTGAAGGGTGGGGAAGAGGGACTAAAAGGCTTTGGTGCATAGTGTTTAAAATTTTATATAGGAACTTATTAATAGGCTGCTTACATAATCTTTATACACACACATACACACGTGTGTGTGTATTTTTAAATAGAGATGGGGTCTCGAACTCCTGGCCTCAAGCAATCCTCCCACCTTGGCCTCCCAGAGTGTTGGCATTACAGGCATGAGCCACCGTGCCTGGCCAATATATAATCTTTTAAAAATAAAAAAAAGATCATTTTAAAAAGAGGCAATGAGGAAAAAGAAAAACAAAAGGGGCAATGAGACGTTCCCTAACCCCTGCCCTATAAAAGACAGAGCAGGGAAGGGAGAAACAAAAGGAAGGAAGAAAGAATACATAAGATATAATCAGAGGTTAAACTGGAGTATCTGTGACACCGAGACTGGAAATTACCTTTCACAGTTGAAACCATAAGACAGTAGTGCAAGAGAGAAATTATTAGGCTGGAAGATAAAGTTAGGAATTGAAGTGTAGTAAGAGAATATGAGGAGAAAACCTCATATTACCTGAAAACCTTGTGGCATGCTCTCCCCACTATACCATATGGAGCTGCAAGTTCCCAAACCACCGTCTGCATCTAAAAGTACCCCAAATGGGCCAGGCGCAGGGGCTCACGTCTGTAATCCCAGCACTTTGGGAGGACAAGGTGGGTAGATCACTTGAGGTCAGGAATTCAAGACCAGCCTGGCCAACATTGTGAAACCCCATCTCTACTAAAAATACAAAAATTAGCAGAGAGCAGAGCGAGACTCCACCTCTAAATAAATAAATAAATAAAATTAAAGCACCCAAACTGGAGAGGGATCAAAACCAGAAGTAAATCCGCTAAGCTTAAATTAAGAAAAAATAATAGTATCTTTAAAACTTAAGAGGAGACAGTCTGAATGGAAGAGAGTGGGACTAAACAGCCTCTTTTTCTGGAGTTGCAGAATAATCAAAAAGCCTGAAAGCGAGACCTGGATGACATTTCTGAGACCAGGAGTTCTAGGTTTCTCTACAGAAGCAAGTGGGTGTGTGGTTAATTTTTTTTGTGTGTGTGTGGGCGGCGGGGGACAGAGTCTTGCTTCGTCGCCCAGGCTGAAGTGCAGTGGCGCAATCTTGGCTCACTGCAACCTCCACCTCCAGGGTTCATGCCATTCTCCTGCCTCAGCCTCCCGAGTAGCTAGGATTACAGGCATGTACCACCATGCCCGGCTAATTTTTGTATTAAAAGGGTCCAAAAAGGAAATAAGAGACCAGAAGCCTGGAGAAGAGGCACGCTGACGGCCCTAAGGCAGGGAACACAAAGTGCCAATCTTTATCTTATGTGAATGCCCAACACAAGGCACCTCCCACAGAAGAGGCATTCAACTACACCCCAAGGACAGACAGGATGGCTTGTCAGTGCTGTCAGCCAGCTTCTTCCCAAGGCTGGAGTACCAGGCCCGTCAATGGAGCCTGTGGAGTGACAGAGAGGAAGGCTCTACATAGGCCCAACAGCATGGGCTCCTTCTTATGAAGGGTGACCTAACTACTGCCACTGCCAAATGCCAGCTAACAAGGAGGGTGCAGAACCAACACTCCAGATGCGGGCTTGCCTTCCCTACCCAGAGAACACCCTACTGCCAGCACAACTGAGGGCTCTTAGAGCATTCTCATATGAATGTCAAGGATGGAAATAAGAGCTCAGGACCAGCTGCAGTGGTAGGGATTTTAACCCTCTTGTTTCAGAGATATATACATATATCTATATATATATAATTTTTTTTTTTTTGAGACGGAGTCTCGCTCTGTCACCCAGGCTGGAGTGCAGTGGCACGATCTTGGCTCACTGCAAGCTCCACCTCCCGAGTCCACGCCATTCTCCTGCCTCAGCCTCCCGAGTAGCTGGGACTACAGGCGCCCGCCATCACACCCGGCTAATTTTTTGTATTTTTAGTAGAGACGGGGTTTCACCATGTTAGCCAGGATGGTCTCGATCTCCTGACCTCATGATCCACTCGCCTCAGCCTCCCAAAGTGCTGGGATTACAGGCGTGAGCCACTGCACCTGTTAGATATTTCTTTTAGTGATCATAATCAGCCACCAATCTGCAGGGTCAGTGACAGAGTAGATCTAATGGGGCATGAGGGAGTCTCACTGGTAAAAGGGGCAGACCACAGCAGACCTTCGTGGTGCTCTGCAGCTCACCCCTCTCCGCACTGTGGCTCTGGTGGGCAGGTCTATGTGGCATGCACAGCACCTGACTCAAGTGGGAGTGGAGGCACTGCTCTGTTTTGTTCCTCGGAGACTTTGCAAACCTAAGGGAGACTGCTCAACAGCATGGAGGCACAAGCACAGACCTGCCGGAGTTAAAGCTCACGGAGCAACCTTCAATTAACAACAGGTGAAAGTTGGTGCATGCATGTCTCAGGCTCCCTGTCCTTTGGTGGGACAACAGTGAGGTACATTCAGAAGACACCCACAGGGCTGAAGCCCAGCTGCCCGCAGGGGGAACTGGATCACCCACTTAATGAAACTTCACTCCCTTCTCTGTCTCACTTTTCCCATTCTCTCACTTCTGCTTTTTGGTTCATCTCCCAAATAACCTATCAGCCAGTAAGTCTTTTTCTCAGGCTCTTCTTTCAAGGGAACACAAACTAAGTGGTAAAGTCAAGATTCAAACTGAAGTCCTCTGGCTACACTGCTTGTGCTTGTAAACAGAGTATGCTGCACTGGGCACAGTGGCTCACTTTGGGAGGCTGAGGTGGGCAGATCACCTGAGGTCAGGTGTTCAAGACCAGCCTGGCCAACATGGCGAAACCTCATCTCTACTAAAAATACAAAATTAGCTGAGCGTGGTGGCGGGTGCCTGTAATCCCAGCCTCTCGGGAGGCTGAGGCAGGAGAACCACTTGAACCCAGGAGACAGAAGTTGCAGTGAGCCAAGATTGTGCCATTGCACTCCAGCCTGGGCAACAAGAGTGAAACTCCATCTAAATAAATAAATAAATAAAAAATAATAGTTCAACACAAAGCCTGACTTAAAAAACAAACAAAACACAAATGCCTTCCTTCCTCAATAATGTAATGTCTTCCAGTTTTACACATGTATAATTATAATTATAAAACAATTAGTGATTATTTTCAACAGAGAGTATTAGACTGTTTCTAAATATTGCAAAGTTCTAAATCAGTCATCAGTTAACAGTTGATAAGAATTTTAATAAATGCATTTTAAAAGCCAGTTTTATATAATTAACTTACTGCCTTACTGTACAATATTTCTCTAATGGACAGTACCATAATAATGCCTATCTGTTAATATGGAACCATCGAATTCTACTGAATGAATTTTTCACAGGTCCCCATTCCTTAAGCGGTAATTCTATTAAAACAAGATACCATCCTTTGGTAATGGTGTCTGAATTATACCTGTAGAAATACTTTAAACATTCTTAAGTTTTACTAAATCTTACATAGCATTTAACATGATAGCAAAAGAGGTAACTATGAACAGAATACAGTTTATTTCCTTAAAAACTGCTTTTGTAAAAGAGGTCATACTTTGCTTTTTTCATAAAATCTCCCTTTGAATATGTTAAGGCTGGAAAAATAATGCCAAAAAAACTTGTTGCACATAAACAAATTAAGAGACCAACAGTACAGTAAAACATAAATTTTAATGTTTCTCTACATTTAGAAAAGTAGGATCCAACTTACCTTGGCTACTAATGAGGCCAACATTATCCCCACCATCCAGGCTCAAAATTCAGGCGGCATCATCTCTTTCCAACATCTAGTCACACATCGGTGTCCCTTCTTCTGCCGCAATACCTTTATCATTGAGTCTTTCTTTTCTATTTCCACAATCACCACCCTGATTGAATTCTGATCAGCTTATGCCTAACTAGTGCCACAATCTCCTCACTCGGCTCCCTACCTCCTCACTTCATTTCTCTAATGATGTATAGTTTATATGTCACTGCTAGAGTAATTTCACTAAAAGAGCTTTCTTCACATCATACTTCCTGCCCTTTCTAAGACCTTCACCACATTCCTACAAAAACATTCATTTTCTATCCATGCACTTTTCCAGAAATATCCTTTACCCATCTAAATTTTACTCATCTTTCAAAGCTCAGCTCACATAACCTCCTATGTTCTACCTGTGCTTCTCAGTTACAGGACTCTGACTAGAAGCAACAATTTACTCCTGTGGCATTCCTCACTTTTGCATGGCAATGTTGGTTATCATTACTTATATTACTTATATACATACCTTGCTAACTGGACTACACACCAAGGGTGGGGAGCAGGTTACTTTCTGATTCCTCCTTTGTGACTTGCTGCCACATAGTTTAATAGGGACCAAAAAAGTAATATCCTGTAGAATAAAAATAAGTGCTTTGGGGGCTTTAGACTAGGAAAAGACATATATTTAGAGTCAAAGCAATACAGATTAGAAAGAACTTTAGGGATGAATTGGCATTTGAGATGGGGTTTTTAAAGTTCACAGGCACTCCACAAGAGAGAAAGGGCCAAAAATATGCCAAGAGAAGAGAGTAGAGAAAAGGAAGGACGATTTCAAATCACCAGCTGAAGAGTATAGTACATAGGGGAATAGAAGAAAATTAAACATTTTCTAAACAACCAATGCTTAAACGGGTAAGTTGACCTCCATCTTAAGTTGACAGCTTCATTATTTCTTGCTTGAAACAGTTAAGAATAGCCTAACTTGTCTCTCTAGTTTTAGTTTTTCCTTTTTCCAAACTACCATTCATATCACCAACGATATGGTTTGGCTGTGTCCCCACCCAAATCTCCTCTTGAATTGTAGCTCCCATAATTCCCCCATGTTGTGGGAGGGACCCAGTGGGAAATAATTGAATCATGGGGGCAGTTTCCCCTATACTGTTCTCTTGGTAGTGAATACGTCTCACAAGATCTGATGATTTTGTAAGAGGTTTCCCCTTTCACTTGGCTCTCATTCTCTCTGCCTGCTGCCACCTAAGATGTGCCTTTCACCTTCTGCCATGATTGTAAGGCCTCTCTAGCCACATGGAACTATGAGTCCATTAAACCTCTTTCCTTTACAAATTGCCCAGTCTTGGGTATGTCTTTGTCAGCAGCATGAAAACTGACTAACACAACCATCATATTAATTTTAACAAAAAATTACGATCCAAAATATCTTTAAATGTTAAAATTTTTCAATGACTGCCCATTTTTCACAAAATAAAGTCTAGACTCCTTGCCATGGCATTCAAAATTCTTCATAAGGTCCTTTCCAGCCTTGTCCCTCAAACTCTCTCTCCTATTCTAAATTCAAGCCATACAAAAATTATTCTATCTTCTGTACATTCTATACACTTTCAAGCTCTGCCTCCACCCCGCTCTGGGCTCTGCATGAAATTAATTCCCTTGCCTTCTGTGAGTATGGAAAACACTCAAACTATTTTTCCTCTGCCCTCTCACCAAAACAATCAACAGGGAAGACTTTTCTTACCAAATGTGTGAGGGTTTCTCCCCATCAACAAGCAAGCAGACAATTCTGCATCAGACACCAGCTGGAACCTCCAATTAAATTCCGACACTACCCACCTGGAGACAGCATCAGATCCCACAGGTTGAGGGATCCATCCTCAAGACGGCCCCCACTTCCAATGCCAATGGCAAGCCCAGGTTATTTTACCTGTGCTTCTGACCAACCAGCCATAAATCCAGGTACCCACAACCCCTTTTTCAGGTTCTATTAGTTTGCTTAGAGCGGCTGACAGAATTCAAGGAAACATTTATGTTTACAGGTTTATTATAGGGGATGTTACAAAGGACAGATAAAGAGATGTACAGGGCACCAGAGCCTGCACATGTTCAGCTATCCAGAAGCTCTCTGAACCCAGTTCTTTTGGATTTTTATGGAACGTTCATTCTGTAGGCACAACTAATTAAACCACGGGTCACTGGTGATCAACTTAACCTTCGCCCTTCTCCCCTCCCTAAATGTTGGGGGTTGGTGGGGGCGGGAACTGAAAGTTCTGACTCTAATCCTGCCTTAGTCTTTCTGCTGACCAGCCCCCATCCTAAAGCTACCTAGGGGGCTGTCATCTACCAGTTAACTCATTAGCATACAAAAAGACATCACTTCAGAGGTTTCAAGGATTTTAAGAGTTGAATGCCAGGAAATGGCATCAAAAACACATATGTATTTTACAGTATTACACTTTCCAATTTCTATTCAGCAATCTTCTATTCATCCATCAAGACTCTGCTCAAATATTATCTCTTCTGTGAAGCCTGCCTGACAATTCTCTCCTCTCATAACATTGGTGTAGTCTTTCCAGGTGATGCCAATACACCTTTGTTTTCTGACATGGTCACCTGTATTTTCAAATTCTTTTGAAAATTATAGCTGTATGTAATTATGGGCATATCAGTGATGTTATAGTTATCATCTATGTACACAGTGTGGAATAATCAAATATATCTTTTCAATTATAATATAGCACTTCTCAGATTGCACTTCAATAATTGTTTTCATGCTCATCCAACCCTAGAAAGACTATTTTTTGAGTATAGCTAGGAACCTGTTTTTATTTAATGTTTTGCATTCTGACCTAACACAGTGCCTGGCATACAGTAGGTGTTTAATAAATGTTTAAAGGGTGAAAGAAATGGACAGATGAAGGCAAAGCTACACTATCTTTAAAATTAGAGGAATCTGTCCTTACTCTGGCAGACAGGCAAAGTGTCACCGACAATACAAGCAAAATTATCTCTTAAGATAATTTAAGCTGGCAGCAACATGTAAAATGAAGTAGGAGCGAGAAGCAGCACAAGCTGGGAGATCCCTGCAATATTTTCAGTGAGATGTAACATAAAGACCTAAACTTGGATGGTGAAGGGGGATTCGGAAAGAGAGGATTCAAACATTTGTGATACATTAGAGAGGTAAAACTGACAGGACTTCACTTGTGCCTAAGGGTAGGAAGCAAATGATGAGGAATCCGAAACAGCACTGAGACTCTGAGCCTGGGTGACAAAGAGGTCCATTAACAGAAGGAGAAATAGCGGGTGCAGAGCTCATGATGAATGATGTGCTAGATAATGGGAAGTCTGAGGCACTAAGCTGAGCCATCTGTAAACAGATGAAAATATGGGCCTGAAGCTTAGAGAAAATGCCACAACTGAGATAGGAAGTTGAGAGAGATCATTTTAGAGATAATTGCGGAAATCATGAGACTAGGAAAGACATAAGAAAAAAACAGGATAATTTCTAAGATAAAACCTTGGGGAAGGTCATTATTATTTAAGAGTAGGAGGGGAAGGAAAAAAGGTCAAGGAGTAATTAAATAAGTAGAATCAGAAGAGCACACAATCATAGAAACCAAAAGAACTGAGAAAGAAAAAAACGATCACAACTCTACCAATCAAACAATATGAAACCTAACAAAAGAATTCGAGAGTTACGTTATTTTTTAGAAGATCTAATCCAGCGGTTTGGCAGGGGCAGGAGAAGGGCGAGTGAATGCTGCAAGTATTAACAGTAGCAGCAAGCAAAGCCTGCCACTTCCAGAAGTGTAAGCGTAGACCACTTCATAAAACCATACATTCTATCTATTTCTTAAAATGTAGATTCCCCACATAATTCAAACCTTTTACCTGATCATTAGTCTCTAAATGGATTTTAAAACAGTAAGCCTGATTTTCCTGTACATACTGTCTTAGGATGGCTTCTTTCCTCCTATTTCTGGCATGATGGCAGCTCCTACCTCTTTAAATTCTATTTCCAAAGATCTATTATTCTAACATGTTAAAAAATCTTATCCTGGGCTGGGTCTGGTAGCTCATGCCTGTAATCCCAGCACTTTGGGAGGTTGAGGTGGGAGGATCACTTGAGTCCAGGGGTTCAAGACCAGCCTGAGCAACACAGAGGGATAATGAGACCCTGTTTCTACAAAAAATAAATTAGCTGGGCATGGTGATGTGTGCCTGTAGTCCCAGCTATGTGGGAGACTGAGGCAGAAGGATCGCTTGAGCCCAGGGAGTTGAAACTATGCTCACTGCAGTCCAGCCTGGGTGACAAAGCAAGATCCTGTCTTAAAAAAAAAAAAAATTCTGAATTCTAAAAAGCGTAAAAATTTCAGAATAACATAAACATTCATTTTTCAATATAATCTTTTTTTTTTTTTTTTTTTTTGAGACAGAGTCTCACTCTGTTGCCCAGAATGGAGTACAGCGGCATGATCTCAGCTCACTACAACCTCTGCATTCTGGGTTCAAGCAATTCTCATGCCTCAGCCTCCCAGGTGGCTGGGATCACAGGCTTAGGCCATCATGCTCAGCTAATTTCTGCATTTTTAGTAGAGACGAGATTTCGCCATGTTGGCCAGGCTGGTCTCGAACTCCTGGCCTCATGTGACCCACCTGCCTCAGCCTCCCAAAGTGCTGGGATTACAGGCACACCTGGCCTAATCTTGCATGCTGAACTCTGCTTTGCAAACTTAGGGGGAAGAAATAAACATATAAACCATTTAATGCTTATCTTCTAAAAGGAGATTTATGAAAGTGATTAGTAAGAAATAAATACCTTTCACTCCTGAAGAGGTTCAACATTTATGAGGAATATATATTAGAATTACTTATGAACTCGTCAGGAAGATGATTAAGGAAACTAAAGAAGCTACTATAAAGTTGTGGTGTTACAAAGAAACTGAAGAAGGCTCAAATAAAGTTGCAGTGTAGAAGGATTATTTTCAACTATTAAAAAATGAGAAATTTCATATTATTCTAAATTATGTTCTTTTCCTTACCTCCAAGATGTGGCTAGATAAAACTGTACTTCTGATTTTCTCCAAACAGCTTTGACCTATGCTTCCATCTCATGAATTCCAAGACAGTATTAAACTGATGCATATTTTCATAAGTCTGTTTAGAAAAAAAAAGAACTTATTTAAGACTTAGGGAACTTTGTCAGAATAATACATCTAGAAGCAATACTAGAAGCGTTTCGCATGTACAACTATACATTTTCAAAGTAAAGTCAATGAAAATTTCTACAGTTTTTACGAAATCTATCACTTTACCATTTTCCTCAACCTCTGCCCAAGCTTTACATTTGTAAAGTTAGTTCTGTGGGAACAGTACTTCCATATAAAATTCCTATGTTATCTTAAGCTTTGATGGAAAAAAAAAAAACTCATCTCAATTTGAAAAAAAAAAAAGAACAGGAATAGCTAGAAGCAGCACCGAAATGTACAATTCTACAATATTCAGATTCCTACTTAGACAAAAATATATTGGACCACCTAGCTAATATCACTTTTTTCTACTTTTGTATTACAAAGTCTAATAACCAGTTTTAATTTCAGCCACACTTCTACCTAGAACATTAGGACTTGTGAGGTTGAAGAATTAATTGCACTGGTTGGTCTATGCCTGTGGAATAGGTCTAAACTACCGTATATTAGTACTGCTATTAACACCTTACCCTTTAAGGGGCAAGCATTCATAAATCTAAAAGATAGAACTATTAAAGCTTAAATTATTATTATTATTATTTTTGAGACAAGGTCTTGCTCTGTCGCCCAGGCTGGAGTGCAGTAGTGCCATCTCGGATCACTGCAACTTCCGCCTCCTGGGTTCAAGTCATAAAAAAATTTCTAAAGGTATGTCTGCTGTTTACTTTGCGATCTTAAAAATCATTCAATCTTTTAACGGAAACTTCAAATAGCAAAGTATTCTGTTTCGTGTTTTAAAAACTGTATGAACGTTGCCTATGCCCCATTGCAAGGTCAAATACCTTGTCTTCAAGTCCATTTAGAAGTATCACACTGAGGTTTAGCAGTCTTGGCGATAATGACTAAATTCATGTAAACTAGGGCAACCTGAAACGGTCTAGCATATCAGGTAGCAGTCTTTCTTAAAGACAAGAGTCTCCGCTCAGCAGACAGGCTGCTGTATCTTTCATGGTCCGGCTAAAGACAGCCTGACCCTGAATGCAATTAGTAATGCTTTGTCTGCATTCAGGAGCCTTTCAGTCTTCTCAATGCACTAGTTACCTACAACTTAGCCAGGTCTCTAACATTTTTCAGAGTCCTCATATGACTATAAAACTCTCAGGCTGTCGCTCAGAGAAATGAGGGAAGGCAAAAATAAAGAGTTGGTGTTCAGTGTTCTTCTGAGATGCTCATAATCTTTAATTTCCCTTTTACTAATCAAGAAAAGAAATGCACTATTTCCATTTTAGAAATGGCATAAAGAGATTTTCCTCCAAAGCCATTCTTTGCCAACTACACCATTCTTCCCTAAGGGTGTGGGAGAGAGAGCAGGCAATCACTGTATTAAACAAAGTTCAAATGAATTTATCCCCATAAAAGTAAAAACAGTCCATCAAAGTGTCTGTTTCAAAAATATATGGCCTGGCCAGGTGCAGTGGCTCATGCCTGTAATCCCAGCACTTTGGGAGGCTGAGGTGGGTGGATCACTTGAGGTCAGGAGTTCGAGACCAGCCTGATTACACACACACACACACACACACACACAGACACACACACACACAGCCTGATTCTAATTCTGCCAGATATTTCCAATGTATCATTATAAAATTAACATGTAAACTACTTACCAACTATTGTTTATTACAGCACCATTTACTAAAACATTGTTTCCTTGGCTAAAAGTTTTAGGCTTCAGGCTAAATCTAAAGTTTAAAAAATAGCGAATAACATAACCAAAAGAGCTTTCAAACATCCCATCTTCAAAAGTCCAAAACCCCAGATGATCTGTTCTTCCCTGTTTTCCCACATGTACAAACACTTAACATAAACTTCAGAAAACCTTTTCTTCTTTTTCTTTTTTGAGACAGGCTCTGGCTCCATTACCCAGGCTGGCGTATAGTGGCACAATCACAGCTCACTGCAGCCTCCACCTCCTGGGCTCAAATAATCCTCCGGCCTCAGCCTCCCGAGTAGCTGGGACTACAGGTACATACAACCATGCCCAGCTAATTTTTATATTTTTTGTAGACATGGGGTTTTGCCGTGTTGCCCAGGCTGGTCTCGAATTCCTGGGCTTAAGGAATCCTCCCACCTCAGCCTCCTGAGTAGCTGGGACTACAGGCGAACACTACCATGCCAGGTTAATTTTTATATTTTTTGTAGAGACAGGGTCTCGTCATGTCGGCCAGCCTGATTTCGAACTCCTGACCTCAAGTGATCCGCCTGCCTCGGCCTCCCAAAGTGCTTAGATTACAGGCATGAGCCACTGTGCCCAGCCCAGAAAACGTTTCCTAAAGACTGAATTTAAGACTAGCTAGTCCCGCACATGTATCCCAGAACTTAATAAAATAAAATAGACCAGCCAAGGAAAATCAAGTAAGATTTGACTTCATTACTCAGAGGTAAACAAAAGACACAGGAAAGGATATGCTCCACAGTACAGCTCTGCAAGTCACATTGTACACACTGGAAGTTGTGTGAATAAAGGTTAGGACCTTTGCAATATAGTGCTATAGTCCTATGAGCACAGATCTATAAATATGTATACACATAAAAATAAGATGTACATGAGCAAAATGTTCCAAACAACTTTAATCACTTAGCTTACTGGGTAATTTACCACAGGCTTTTAACACTATGAACTTGTGGTTCAACAACCACCAGGGGTGTTAGTCAAAACAAAACGCTAAGTAAGTACAAGTCATTTTTTCAAAGATTTTGTGTCTGAAATTTCTAAGCCTATTAGTTGTAGAAAACACATTAAAAAGAAGGCAATTCTTTAAAAAACATATGCAAGCTTCTTAATGACATGGAAAAATGAAAATCAAACATTTCTAAATATATTCTAACATTCATAACTCAGAGCTAACATCAAAATTTCTTCAACATTAATAATTATTTGCAAACAAACACAAAAAGTTCATTTTAATTCCACATTTCCCTTACAAAACATCTTTTCTTGTCATCAGAATGTATGCATCCATCTTGGTTTTCAAAATTATTAAAATGGTTAAATCTTAAACCAACAAGATACTTTAAAGCTCACTACCCATGCAGAATCCAAGGACAAGCACTGATTATGGATATCATAACAGTTATCTATAAGGTTTCAGAATGTCACCCACTGATTTCTATTATTAGTAAGATTTGCTTTACAGAAAAGAATAGTGTAAATATTCTTTTACTCAATCTAGGCCAAAACACCTTTTTTTTTTTTTTTTTTTTTTTTTTTTTTTTTTTTTTTGATACAGAGTCTTGCTTGTCACCCAGGCTGGAGTACAGTGGCACGATCTCAGCTCACTGCAACCTCTGCCTCCTGGGTTCAAGCCATTCTCCTGCCTCAGCCTCCCCAGTAGCTGGGATTAACCATGCCCAGCTAATTTTTGTATTTTAGTAGAGATGCGGTTTCACCATGTTGGCCAGGCTGGTCTTGAACTCCTGACCTCATGATCCGCCCGCCTCAGCCTCCCAAAGTGCTAGGATTACAGGCGTGAGCCACCACTCCTGGACACTTGTTTGTTTTTTTTCTGTTTTTTTTTTTTTTCTTTTTTTCTTTTTAAAGACAGGGTCTCACTCTGTCACTCAGGCTGGAGTGCAGTGGCACGGTCATGGCTCACAGCAGCCTTGACCTTCCAGGCTCTAAGGATCCTCCTGCTTTAGCCTCCCAAGTAGCCAGCAAGTACGGCCATGCCCTAAGCCAAAATTTAAGATTAACTTTGAGCTTGTACCAGATATCAAGATGTAATGGAATTCTTAGAATTCGGTGGAATCAACAACACTGATTGCACATTTTTTCCTTCGGCTACTCCAAATCCCCTCTTCCCTATCATTTCTCCTCCCTTCTCAGCACCCAGAAAAAGCACCCCATGCACTGTACAAATACTGCAAACACTATAGTTGCATTCATAGGACCATTAAAAAAAAAGAGCCAAATTACAAAACAATCTATATTTTACAAACATTTCAGTTGGGTTCTTAAGCTAAAGATATTACTGTTTACTTTGGTACGATAACTAGAAAACACAAACATTATGCTCCAGAAAAACATAATGTGGTTTTAGCTGTAAATAACTCAAATGAACAGTTACTTTAGGATAGTATACCATGCACCCCTATAATAAACATGTAACCACCTAACTAGAAAGGGAGGGTCAACTCATGAATGGGTTGCGTTCTAAATTTCCAAAACTTCATTTATAAATTGAATATAAGGTTGATTTTGAAACTCAAGATGCCTTTACTCATAAAACCAAACATATAAACAGTTGTACTAAATCCATAGTCCAAAAGAACTTTAGTGTACAAATCTATCATAGCACTCTTCTGTTTAAGCTTGTATCTATGTCAAACTACAAGTTTCTTATTCATTTCTGTATCCTAGAATCCAGCATGACACAGTGTAGGATTTTGGCAAGTATTTGCTGTTGTGAAGTATTGAATAGTAACAACTCAATGATACAAAACTGGGTTGCATAGAAAATCTAACTTACCTGAACTACAGAAGAGACTCAAAAGGCAAGGGGAAAAGGCTTCTTCCAGAAGAGATAACAGAAAAAAATACTTGGGCTAGAAAGCTCTGGTCTGAACCAACTGTGACAATTTCCATTCCCCTTGCCAGTGGGTAGTCTGGTAACACATTCCTAATGCAATTCTGGCCAAGAAGACAAGAAAGTAAGTTTGCTAGGGAGCTTTTAGGAAAAGTTTTCTTGGCTGATGAAAAAAGACCCAGGTAAAAACACATGCTCCCAGCCTTTTTGCATGCAATTCTGGGTTTGAATGTGTAAACAAGAACTGGACCATGAGGACAACCCAACAGATCAAGAACAGCAGCAGCATTAAAAGATAGAAAGAACCTGGGTCCTTGGTGATGCTGTCATGCCTGAATGAATTAATCCTAGAATCATCTTAACGTGTATCTTTTCATATTAAATTCTTTTACTGTTTAAACAATTTGTCACAAGTAACTCAGCAGATAGGGTGACTTAGGAACAGATACATCATTTACTTCCATGAATTTAGTTGTTCCCTACACAATGTAAACTGCCCTAAATTTATACCTCAGCCCAGATCCTTCTTTTGAACTAGATACATGTTTCCAAACACTCTATTAAATGTTTATTCCAGTGGCACATCAAGAGAATAAGATCAATATAAAAGCCATCAACCACCAGCACAAAATCTGTTTATGTACCGGCAGTCACTTTTTGGCTAATGGCAGCACCGTTAGCCAAAAAGTGCCCAATTGCCGAAGTTTAAAATCTTGGGATCACAAGCCCCACCTCCCTCTGCTTCATCTATTATACTCAGGAGTTACTAAATGCTGCTCATTCTAGCTCTGATACACGTATCTTTAAAATGTCTCCCCATCTCTACACATATTGTCTGACGTAGGCTCTCATCTTTCATGTAGCTCACCTCCATTCTTACCTCTATTCATTGGACTCATGTCTCTAAAATATAACTATGCTTCATGAAAAGATTATAAACACCCTGTCATTAGGAAGATGCAAGTTAAAACTACAATGAGATACACTATACAGCCATTAAAATGGCCATAATCAAAAGACAATACCAAGTGTCGAGCATCTGGAGAAGCTGGAACCCGCATACATTGCTGACAGGACTGTAAAATGATGCAGTCACTTTGAGGAATAGTCTGTAAATTTTTTTTCTTTGTTCTTTTAGAGGTGAGGTCTCACTCTGTTGTCCAGGCTAGAGTGCAGTAGCCCAATCATGGCTCACTTCAGCCTTGACCTCTTGAGCTCAAGCAATCCTCCCGCCTCAGTCTCCCGAGTCACTGGGATTATAAGCGTGAGCCACCATGCCCTAATTTCTTAAAGTTATATATAAACTTATCACAGGATCCAAAATTTCCTTTTCCCAAGAGAAATATGTGCCCACACAAAGATTTATCTACAGATGTTCATAGCAGCTTTGTTCATAATAACCAAAAACTGGAAACAATCCAAACATCCATCAATTGCTGAGCACATAAATTGTCATCACCACAGAATGGAATATCATTAGGCAGTAAAAAGGCACAAAATACTGATACACATTACAGCATACATGAGCCTCAAAGACACGCTAGATGAAAGAAGCCAATGTAAAAATACTGCATACTGTATGTTTCCAACGCATAAATGTTTAGGAAAAGCAAATTTAGAGACAGAAAATAAGCAGTGGTTGCCTAGATGAGGAGGTAGAAGGCAGTGATTGTGGGAGGTGATAAAGTGTTCTAAAACAGTCACAGCACAAAAATTTACTAAAGTTAAAAAATTTAAGTGTGCCTACATTTTTTCAATGATTTCTTTTTTTTTTTTTTTTTAGACGGAGTTTCGCTCTTGTCGCCCAGGCTGGAGTGCAATGGCACGAACTCAGCTCACCACAACCTCTGCCTCCCGGGTTCAAGCAATTCTCCTGCCTCAGCCTCCCAAGTAGCTGGGACTACAGGCATGTGCCATCACACTCAGCTAACTTTTGTATTTTTAGTAGAGACAGGGTTTCACCATCTTGGCCAGGCTCATCTCGAATTCCTGACCTCGTGATCCAACCGCCTAGGCCTCCCAGAGTGCTGGGATTACAGGTATGAGCCACCGCGCCCGGCCTTTTTCAATGATTTCTAATTATGTACAAAATGAAGTCCAAATTCATTAGAAGGGCATTCACAGACTGCTATAATCTGTTTTCAATCTATTTAACGTAACCTGCCTTACCTTCTGCTACAGTTCGTTCCACAGGATTCTAGTAATAACACATTGTGCACTTATCACAGTGAACCATGATTACCTACTTATAGGTATATCATCTTTACAAAAAACTTGAGTATAGCCATAGCATTTTACTAGTGCTTGTGTCCCTAGTGTCTGATACACAGTACAGTGCCTGGCCTATAGGAGGTAATCAATACACTTCTAAATAAGTTAATGACAAATGGCATTGAAGAGAAAAATCCAAAAGTAGGTAAAATGAGCTATGCACCAAAAAAGACACTTGTACAAGGATGATTAGTGTCACTATTTTTTTATTTGAGACAGGGTCTTGCTCTGTCACCCAAGCTGGAGTGCAGTGGTGTAATCCTAATTCCCTGTAGCCTCCACCTACTGGGCTCAAGTGATCCTCCCACCTCAGCCTCCAAAGTAGCTGGGACTACAGGCAAGTGCCAACAAGCCTGGATAATTTTTTGTTTGTTTGTTCGTTTGTAGAAATAAGGTCTCTCTATGTTGCCCAGGCAGGTCTCAAATTCCTGGGCTCAAGTGATCCTTCTGCCTTGGCTTCCCAGAGTGCTGGGATTATAGGCATAAACCACTGTGCCTGGTGCCACTGTTATATAAAAAAGAAAAACAAGAAGTTACCCAATGTCATCTAAATGTTTATTAGAATAGGATCAATTAAGCAGTCACATTAAACACTACATAGTCATTTAAAATAATGAGATATATCTTTTTATATAGACATAAAAAGACATCCCAAATATCGAAGAAAAAAACTATAAAATAAGTTAATCCTCCATTATTTAAAAAAGAAAACAAAACCGTACACACAAGTACTCGCATGCGTACATCTGTGCATCGTGTATAAGGAAGGTGCAGGGCTGAAGGGTACACATGCAGCTGTACTGATGCAGACGAAGAAGTGAAAACAACCTTAATTGCCGATCAGCTGACAAATGGCTAAACAAAATGTGGTCTTATCCATGCAGTGGAACATTATTCAACCTTAAAAATAAACGAAGCCATAAAAAGAACTGGTTCATGATACAACAGGGATGAGGCCTGAATATATGCTAAGTGAAAGAAGCCAGACATATGATTCCACTTATAGGAAATATTCAGAATAGGCAATTTCACAGAGACCGAGAGTAGATTCGTGGCCGTCTGGGGCTGGAGAGTGGGGAATGGGGAATGGGGAATGACACCAAAAATACAATCCATGAAAGAAAAAAAAACACGATAAACTGAACTTCAACAAAATTAAAAATGTTTGCTCTACAAAAGACCTGTTTAAGAAGGCAAAAAAATGAGGTACAGGCTAGGAAAATATATTTGCTAACAATATATGTGATAAAAGCCTCATCTAGGATATATAAAGAAATCTCAAAGCTCAACAATTGAAAAAAATTTCAACTAGAAAATGGGCAAGAAATATAAAGACATTTTATTGAAGAGGATATATAGACGGCAAATACGCGCATGAAAAGATATGGTCAACATTACTAGACATCAGGGAAACGCAAACCAAACTATGCTGCACACCTACTGGCACAGCTAAAATAAAAAAATAGTGACAACACCAAATGTGGACACGAATGTGAAGAAACTGGATCTCTCATACACTGCCAGTGAGCATGTAAAATGGCACAGCTACTTACAGGTAAGCCACCAACTGCACACCCCTGGGCTCTGGCAAAGATTCTTTGCTTGACCAAATGAGCCAGGCTCCTGAACTTTTCTCCCAGGCCTATCTGTGTACTTCCTTGTAAATTCCTGTTTTAGCAAAGAACCCTGCTAAGCCAGATTAGCAAACCTCCCGTCAAGGTGTCTGATTACCCTCTTCTTCTTCTGCCACCCTCCAGCTGATGTCTGATCACCTTGGCCTGTCTTCAGCAAGAAAGAATCCTGTTACGGTCAGTTTAGGCAGAAACCCCTTACACCTGACATTTCCTCTTGAGAATTTTCCATCCACTGGCCCTCAACCAGCTCCTTGGCTACAAATTCCCACTTCCCCATGCTACATCCAGCACTGAGGCCACGCTCTCTCCCCACCCACTGTAAGACACTATTGTAGTGGTCCCTACACTTACAGGGATGATCCTGAATAATGTCTTCCTTCCCATGCTTTAACAAGTGTCACTGAATAATTTTTTTTTCTTTAACAGCACCTCTCCCAAAGAAATAAAAATTTATGTCCACACAAAAAACTGAACATGAATGTTCACAGCTGCTTTACTGTTAAAAGCCAAAAACTAGGGAAAGAGATTATCTTTCAAAAGGTGAATGGTTAAACAAACCATGGAATCCTATTCAGCAATAAAAAGGAAAGAACTGTTGATTCACACAACTTGGATAGATCTCAAGGAATTGCGCCAAGTGAAAATAAGCTAATTTTAAAAGGTCACATACTATGTGATTCCATTTATTAATATCCTCGAAATGTCAACATCATAGAGATGAAAAGCAGATTACTGGCTGCCATGGGGCAGGTGTGTGCAGCACAAGGGAGAGCTTGGTGGTGGCAGCATTTGTGTCTTGATGCCACAGTGGTTCACAAATCAACTACATATATGTTTAAACAGCACAGCACTAAACACATAAAATGTACCAATGTCAATTTCTAGTTTAATGCTGTGCTGTGGGTAGTAAGAAGTTACCATTAAGGGAAAGGTGAAAGGCACAAGGGACCTCTCCTTACTATTTTTTGCAATTTCCTGTAAACCTAGTTATTTCAAATTAAAAATTTTGAAGAACCTACTTTGAATAGTAAAATAACTGTTCAAGGACTATACGAGATATATTATTTCTTTGAAATTATCTTTCTTTTATGTAGGTGTGAGTGTATATACATATGTGTGTACATACAAGTTTATTTTTTGGAGAGCAAAGAAGAAAAAATCACTACGAAATTTCAATTCTGCCAAGGTTTCTAGTTTCCTAGAAACAAAACAGCAGTCCCAGGTCAACTTCTGGGTGCTCAGTCTGAAGTTGGGAAAGGGCCCTTTCCCTCCGTATCCCTCCTGTTCTGGCTCCGTGAAGGTGTGGCAATTCCGAGGGGAGTGCCAATCTGTGGCACCCGCAACAGACTGAACCCCAGAAAATCACCCAGCTCTATGTTCTTTTGCAATTTATCCTTCCCAACAATGAAGCATAAAAACACTTGCACATTCTCATTCTTGTTCTACAACTTACGAACCTAACAAGACATTTAAATTTTTTGATAACACCCTCTTTCTTTTTCCAAGTAAATCCAATTCGGCCAGTAGAGAAATTATTGTATATATATTTTTTTTTTATACAGAGCTTTTGAGAAATTATCAATAGACCATTTGTTTTATTAGCTAATAGGTAAATGTCCCATGGAACAAGCTTCCTAGAATAATTTCACCACATAAAACAGTTAAATTTCTACTGTTAATTCAGGAATTATCAGAGAGTGATTCTAGATTGCTAAGGGTTCACCAGATCTGCTAAAATCAGCATGATTACACTCTCTCAACACATAAAGAAATTCAGAATTGACATTATGAATACCAGAGTTATGCTACAATACAGTGAAATCATCAGGGACTATTAATACATGCTGCTATTTGTTTCAGATCTAAATAATCACAAAAGAGTGTTGTGGTTTTTTACTTACTGGCTTATTTGTTTTAGCTTGCACCCGTCTTTCCTTTACGTTTTTTCCCCTTTGTGAACCGCTACCTGGAATGCACACTTGCTAATAACAGCATCACCCTCTACCCACTTCTCCTTTATGTCATCCCTGGAAAACAGCAAACTAGCTTAATGTAGTTCTGTGGTTCAAGGTCTATAAAAACAAAAAGGCTGCATATGACGGATGGCCTGAGACTGAAGATATAAAAACTGAACACATCTTCTATTACGATCAAGTAATTGTTGTACCATGATACTGCAATTTTTTCCTTGAGACAGAGTCTCACTCTGTCACCCAGGGTAGAGTGCAGTGGCACGATTTCGGCTCACTGCAACCTCCACCTCCCTAGGTCCAGTGATTCTCCTGCCTCAGCCTCCCAAGTGGCTGGGATTACAGGCACGTGTCACCACGCTCGGCTAATTTTTTTATTTTTAGTAGAAATGCGGTTTCACCATATTGGCCAAGCTGGTCTTGAACTCCTGATCTTGTGATCCGCCCTCTTTGGCCTCCCAAAGTGCTGGGATTATAGGTGTAAACCACCGTGCCCGGCCTGCAACTTTTTTCTTTAAAGGCCACTTTAAGGAGAAGGGAGAGATGACATACCTGAATGAGTCAACCTAGGAAAAAACAAAGATGGGTGGAGCTAAAAAAGTAAACACATCTCAAATGCCTACTTAACATTTCTAACTAAATAGGCTAAAACTCAAAACAAATGAAATGTAACTCACTAACTCACTTGTCCATCCTCTCACAAACTTGCTCCTCTTGAACTCATCTGGCTTATTCCACAACTGTGTAAAAGAAGACATTCTGCCATACCTAGTAAAGCTGATGGTGTATACACCCAAGACTCAACAATCCAGGTCTATGCATATAACCTAGAGAACCTTTTGTACTTAGCTACCATGAGCCACGCAAAAGAATATTTAAAGCAGTATTTTTTCCATACCAAAAACTAGGTGAAACCGAGGTGTCAAGCAGCAGTAAAATGGACTGTGGTATATTCATAGAATATTCCATATTCCAGTAATTTGGAATATTATATCAAATAGTGAAAAATTAATGAACTTCGGCTAACAATGTCAACATAAATGACATCTCAAAATTGTAATATAAATAAAAAAATCAAGCCCAAGAAGAATATATACAGAATAATTCCATATGTATAAAGCTCAAAAACAGGAAAAGCTTAAAAAAAAAAGTATGTTAAAGGGACAACACAAATGTGGTAAAACTTAAGAAAAAACTAAGGGAATGACATCAAATTTAGGAGGATGGTTACCTCTGGGAAGGGAGGAATAATTGTCTTGAGGGATGAAGGAGTTCAAAATTGCTGTTACATTTCTCAAGATAGAAGTTTGGACCAGATTTATTCATGTATTGTTATTATTATTTAAAATGGATATATACATTATAAATAGATAGAAAGATAAGTAGATAGATCCTTGTAAGATTAAACCTATCTAAAGCAGACATGGTTAAATGTTAATATTTTAACAATTTAAAAAAAATTTAAATCTATGCCCACATTACATAAATGTCTATTACTTTATGTAATGTACATAAATGTCTATTATAGCACTTTCTATAATTTTGGAATACAACATACTAAGAAAATTAAGAGTAAATTACAAAATTCTATTTTGAAATTTAAAGACACAGTATCACAAATCTTTAACAGAAGTATATTAAAACAAATACTAAACTATTATACAGCGGAAAAAAAACATGTAAAAAAAATTACTTCTCCTAATGTAATATAATGGAAAATTAATGCCATCTATATAGTATATTCATTCCAAAATATTCTTATTTTAATCTAGGCATGAAATATAACCAGCAAATTGTGGGACTGCTTATATAAGAAAAGGAAAAATATGATGAGATTTCATAAAAGACCACTGCCGGGTGGTAGATGGAGGTGGGGTAGTGGCTTATCCTAAAGTAAAGGAAACTAAAGAAATATGACAGCCAAAAGCGGGTGTGTGTGTGTGTGTGTGTGTGTGTGTGTTTCCTTGATTGGTTTCTGGATCAAATATAGATCTATTTAGCTCTCTATAGATATAGATATATTTTTTCCCTTGGTTTCTGGATCAAAAATTAAAACATCTATAAAGAACTGTTCTGGGGAAGAAAATAAATGAAATTTAAATAGGGATCACATGTTAGATAATATTGTATTAATACTATATCTCTTAAGTATGATAATGTAACTCTTCAGGAAGACAACCTTGCTCTTAGGATACACGTGCTAAAATGTTTAGAAGTTAAATGTCAAGATGTTTGCAGCTTACTTTCAAATGGCTCAGGGGAATAAAAAAAGTATATATGTCTTTATAAACAGAGAAAGCAAATGAGGCAAACGTTAGCAAGTGAGCCACTGAGTTAGTGAAAGACACAAGGGTGTTCACTATTCATTCAACTTTTCTATCGATTTATAAATTTTTAACAATTTGCAAATATATGCATTTCATTCTTTAGTTATGGGTAGTAATTCTACCACAAAGTTTAATAAACAGTGTTAGTATGACAGAGCTTATTAAGATCAAATATTAACATATTTACAAGCAAGTCCCAAAGATCTTTCCTCCATCAGTAATTTTAAAACTTTTTTTCTGGAAATTGTGAATTACAAGTTGAATGAAAGGCCAGGCACGATGGCTCACACCTGTAATCCCAGTACTTTGGGTGACTGAAGCAGGAGGATCACTTCAGCCCGTGAGTTCAAGACCAGTGTGGGCAACATAGCAAGACCATATTTCCACAAAAAAATGTTAATTTAGCCAAGTATGGTGGCACGTGCCTGCAGTCCCAATTACTCAGGAGGCTGAGGTGGGAGGATCACTTGAGCCTGGGAAGTTGAGGCTGCAGTAAACCATCATTGCATCACTATACTCTAGCCTGGGCAACAGGGCAAGACCCTGTCACACACACACACACACACACACAAACAAAAAAAGTTAAATGAAAAATTAATTTTTTGCTTAAAAGGTCAAAAGATTATGTCTGTGCTTCAGAAACAATATCATAAGCAATTTGAGGGCAAGGATGTTTATTTTGGCAATTCAATTATACTATATATAATTCACAAAGACTTTATTTTACACTGCTAAAATAGATAAAACCATACTAATACATTAGAATGGGATTTCTTGGCTGGGTGCTGGTGGCTAACCCTGTAATCCTAGCACTTTCAGAGGCTGAGGTGGGAGGATCGCTTGAGCCCAGGAGGTTGAGGCTGCAGTGAGCAATGATCACGCCATTGCACTCCAGCCTAGGAAACAGAGTGAGTCCCTGTCTTAAAACAAACAAACAAACAAAAAGCAAGGAAAAAAAAAAAAAGAATGTCATTTCTAAATGTCCTATTATTTCTAATATATTTAGAAAATTACATTTCTAAATGTCCTATTAATAGTGTACGTTAAAATTTATTTCTCAAAATAGATTTATTTCCTAATGATGCATACTCTAAGATTATATTTACAATATTTTTCAGGATTGCTAAGCAGGTAGTAAGGGTGGAATCAATTCCTTTATGTGGACAAAGTTTCCTGAAAAACTAATTACATTTCATAGAAAATGATAACCACCGGTCACCTTAAGGATGTATAGGTTATGTCAGAATTTAGTCCAATTAAACTGTCATGTAATACTTGACTTAATTATTTACTAAAAACTTAAAATTATCTTCATAAAAAACCCAACTGTCACCCACCCAATATGTGTGCATCAATAAACTAACAAAATTCTAGAAGTTACAGAAAATAAAATTATTTTCAATTAAGAGCACCCATGTAAAATCCATCCCTTGTACACGAATATGCCAACTAGTGATTTCAAACAGGAGAAATAAGTCTAGCAATATTTCCTCCAAAAGGCCAGGTGTGGGACAGCGCTGCTCCATGTCCGTGGGTGGATAAACACACAGGGAAGAAAGTTTTAGATGGGAAGCCTACATTTAAGTTCTCATCTCTGTGTGATGAGAGGCAGGTAGTTAATTACCGTACAGCACTGTCTTTTAAATCCGTGAGTCACATGCCTAAGGGAGGGGCCTGGATGCAGGATGAGCAGCAACTAGGGCAATCAAGGAAGGTTTCAAAAGGAAGCAACAACAGGTTCTGAGGAGCTGCAGACAGGCAATTAGCAGCAACTACTACCCCAACACAATGCACATAATCCAACAGCCAACTAGGGACTGCCCACCTTCTTGCAAAAACACAGCATGTACCTTTGGGACTAAGTTTGTGAGGCTAGGTATGTTTGAATTTCAGAGATATTCTATTATCGACAGACAAGTGAGACTGAAAGAAACACACACACACACACACACACACACACACAACCCTTGGTAATATTTCCAGGGGCCATTAAAGCAAATTTTAAAACATTTAAGACATAGTTCCCTGCCTGCAAGAAACATGTAATCAACATGAGGAGCCAAGACATAAAGATATTCAAATTTAAATAATGGTAACAGATGATACTGCAAATGTCATACCACCACACATGATGATTAACCGAAGAGCACTAACGTTTACTGCTTCACAGGTGGGAAGTAATTTAAGGTGGCCTTCCAAGGATCCGCAGGATTTGATACTATGCAAGGAGGGAGTAGTGCAAGTTCACACGAGCATTCCACAGGGAGGGTCAGGGAGGATACTTTGTGGCTGGTCATGGCCCCATGGAGGGTCTGGATTCTATGGTTGTGAAGCAGGATCACCAATGTATGGTCTGATCCAGATGACAAATATACAGCTGCCCTAAGGCCCATGCCCACAGCACACACAACTGCTCATTTTAGTTCTCCTTCCAACCAAGCATTAAAGACCTCATAGTGCTTTTCCATACAGAATCCTCAGCAGCCAAGATGTCAGGATGTTTGAAATGCATCTACCATTCTTTAGGAAGTAAAGAGAAGAACATAAAGATAAGAAAGAGCATGGGCTCTGTAGCCAGACTGAATACCAAGGTTAGAATCCTGGCTCCACCACTTAACTGTTGTAATCCTTTGACCAAGTTGTTTAACCTCCTCCGTACCCAATCTGTAAAATGAGGATCAAAGGAGTTAATATAGGTATGGCACTTAGAACAGTGCCAGGCAGACAGTAAGCACTAAGTGTAAGCTACTGTTATTGTTCTCTATCAACAGGAAACCAACTGTATTTTCAGAGAGTAATTAGAAGTTTATACGGGAGAATAATACAAGCAGCTGTATTAAAAGCTTGCTGGATACAGAAAACACTGTGAATCACTGGTAGAAACACCTTCCATTATTTAATAACATTGCCTAATAATAGCATCAAACACTTGCTGGTTGATTTAAGAACAAAATTATGGCAATAATATTTACCGAGTTCCATTTATCAAACATTTACTATGTGCCGGTTACTGTGCTAAATTCTATACATTTATTATCTTGCTTAATCCTTAAAATAAGCCTATGAGCCAGATACCACTAGTAATCCCATATTACAGATAAGAAAACTGAAGCTCAGGCCGGCACAGTGGCTTGCATCTATAATCCCAGCACTCTGGGAGGCTGAGGCGGGCATATCACCTGAGGTCAGGAGTTCGAGACCAGCCTGGCCAACATGGTGAAACTCCATCTCTACTAAAAATACAAAAATTAGCCAAGCATGGTGGCCTGTAATCCCAGCTACTTGGGAGGCTGAGGCAAAGAATCACTTGAACCCAGGAGGCAGAGGTTGCAGTGAGCCGAGATCGCGCCACTGCACTCCAGCCTGGGTGACAGAGTAAGACTCTGCCTCAAAATAAAAATAAAAATAAAAATAAAAACGGGAAAAAAAAAGAAAACTGAAGCTCATAGTGATTAAGTAACCTTCTCAAAGTCACACAGTTAATACATGGTAGATTTGGGATTTAAACCCAGATCAGCCAGACTCTAAACATTGTACTTTTAATCCTAATGCCATACGTTTTCTTCCCAAATCCTGAACCAATTGCCCATGACTGTGATAATGGTTGTACAGATCCGTGAGTATACTAAAAACCATTGAAGTGTGTGCCCTTTAAATAATTGTATGGTATGTGAATTATATCTTAATAAAGCTGTTTCAAACCATTAACAAAAAATAGTAAAATCAGGATACAGGGTCCTTGGGGTTTTACTCATACACAGACTGGGACTAGAATAAAAAGGAAAATTGAATTCATTTTGGATAGAAAAATGAGTATTTTTCAAATGGAAAGATTTAGAACCTGTATATAAATACATGACACATGCTAAAGTTGGACCTAAATAATGAATAAAATGTAGATCAAGAAATATCTGTGAGGCCAGGCATGCTGGCTCGGGTCTGTAATCCCAGCAATTTGGGAGGCCGAGGTGGGTGGATCGCTTGAGCCCACGAGTTCGAGACCAGCCTGGGAACATGCAGTTCGAGACCAGCCTAGGAACGTGGTAAAACCCCTCTCTACAAAAAATACAAAAATTAGCTGGGTGTGGTGGTGCGTGCCTGCTGTCCCAGCTACTCAGGAGGCTGAAGTGAGAGGACCACTTGAGCCTGGGAGGTCCAGACTGCAGTGAGCCATGATTGTGTCACTGCACTCCAGCCTGCACAGAGCCAAGAACCCGTCTCAAGAAACAAAAGGAGGGAGGAAGGAGAAGAGAGGGGGAGGGGGGAGAAAAAAGAAACATCTGTGGGTAATGATGATGTCACAGTGATCCCCTTATCATCAAGTCAACGTTTTGGCAAGAGAGAGGTAACAACATGATCATATTGTTATTCACTTTTAGCAAGGGAGCAGCACAAAATGTGGGCAATAGCATAAAGTTTTTTGGAAAAATGTAATGAAGTTAATGGTCTCCTGTACAGCCTTGGGAGGTATAAATGCAGCCTCTCTAGAGAGCAACTTAGCAATGAGCATGATGTACCCACTAGCTGAGCAATCCTACTAATAAAAATCCACATTTAAAAAAAATCATGTTGTGCACCCAGATTTAGTGACACGTATGGTCTTACAACACGCTTAATGACGGCAGAACAAGCAAAAACAAAAATAATGTAAATTATAGTACAGTCAGACAATATTGTTAATAACAGCTGATGTTTATTAAGTGCCAAGAATTATTTCTATGTGTTAGCTCACTTAATACTTACAGCAACCCTAGAAGTTAGTAAGAATGTTATAACTATTTTCAAGATGAGGAAACTAAAACCCAGAGGAGTAACTTCCTTCAGGTCACACTGCAGCAGTAACTGAAGCCAGGATTTGAACCAAGGCAGTCTCAACACCGCCACTTCGTGTAACTACAAATGTTATGCCACACGAGAATAAGTACTTGGAAATATACTCACAATATATTAAGATAGAAAAAATCAGATCACAAAATAACCATGTGATCCTTTTCTGTTTAATGCATTTAAAAAGAGAGCGATGGAAATGACATGCCCTAGAGCTTAACAATAGGTACTGCTGGTATTACAGTTGATAATTGTCTTCTTTATACTTTTCCATATTTTCCAAATTTTCCACTGCAGGATGATTTTTTTAAATGACCTTCTTTAAAAAAATAAGTGAAAAGATGATTATTATTTAAAACACTGCAAAAAAGGACAAGTAACAAAAACCATGGAACCAGCAGTTAAATCTGCTATTGGGGTTGCTGATTCCAGAGAAGTGGTAGATGCCAACCAGGCAGTGGCCAGTAAGAAGTATATGAAACAGTGACAGGTGCTAAACAGGCATCAACTAGCATCCGGAGAAGTCCGGGGGGAGGGCAAGGAGCACGGTACATAGCTCTGAGGTAATGGCAGTATCAAGGGAAGGTTTTGCTGGTTTGTTTTGAACTTGAAGGAGATTTGATCAGTGTTACAATCGAACTAGAAACAGTCAAGGATGGAGAGATGGATAATGAGAGGGAGGTCTCAGACGATAAGGACTGAGCCTTAGAAAAAGGGAAAACTTCGTGTGAAACAGCCGAGAAGGAAGAAAAGAAGTCATACAGTGATCTTTGAGGTGGAGACAGAAAAAACTGACAGACTTTAATTTGGTACCCTCTAGCTTCTCTAAGAAAAAAAAAAAAAAAGATGTCATCTTCCAAACTAAAAAAAGGTGATTCTGGGTGCAGTGGCTCATGCCTGTAATCCCAACACTTTGGGAGGCCAAGGCAAGAGGATTGCTTAAACCCAGTAGTTTGAGACCAGCCATGGCAACGTGGCAAAACCCCATCTCTACCCAAAAATTTTTAAACAGCCAGGCATGGGGGCATAATCCTGTAGTCCCAGCTATTCAGGAGGCTGAGGTGAGAGAACCACTTGAGCCTGGGAGGTGGAGGCTGCAGACGAGCTATGATCACACCACTGCACTCCAGTCTGGGTGTCAGAAAGTTAGACCCTGTCTCAAACAAAACAAAACAAAAACTAAACTAAAAATGTGGTATTAGGTACAGGGTGAGAAGCAGGGTTAGTAGGAAAAGTGCTAGAAAGCAACTGGATTCACCTTTTGCCAGAGCTAGCAGAAACCATCAGCCTAATCATCAATTGACCACAACTTCTCCTCTGGACAATTCACATTACAGACATAAATAAGAGTATTGCAGTAAGTTGGAAAAATCGTTTATTATTCACAGTTAACATGTACATAAGCTATGCCACTCATAACTGAAGAACCCATGGTATGCCTGGAGACTGTTACCCTACCGGTAATTCCAAGGATAACAACCACTACCACAATCCATGAGGCTGACGTGATAAGTGCCATTACTTTTAGATGAGATGCATAGGCAAAAGAAGCACTAGGCTTCAAGCATAAATTTCTAATTTGACAATAAAAACTAGTTTGCTATGAAAATTCAAGTTGTGGCCGGGCACGGTGGCTCACGCCTGTAATCCTAGCACTTGGGGAGGCCGAAGTGGGCGGATCACGAGGTCAGGAGATCGAGACCATCCTGGCCAAAATGATGAAACCCCATCTCTACTAAAAATACAAAAATTAGTTGGGCATGGTGGCGCGTGCCTGTACTCAGGAGGCTGAGGCAGGAGAATCGCTTGAGCCCAGGAGGCAGAGACTGCAGTGACCTGAGATCGCACCACTGCACTCCAGCCTGGGAGACAGAGCGAGACTCAAAAAGAAAAAAAAGAAAATTCAAGTTGTAAAGATCTCAAATTCTGTATAATTGAAAAGTTTTCTAAGACAAGCCAATTGTTACAAAACATGGTATTTTTAACACACATACAGAGATCTCCAGAGATGTAAGTGGCTTTAAAAAATAAGTAGCAATAATAATAGTAATAATAATAATAAATAAGTAGCCATTTCTTCATGTGTGAGGATACAGTCACGGAAATAAGAATATAAGATACAGAGGTAAGAGCTGAGTACTGTTTAATACGTGGCTGGCTTCACTTGCATGCCCAATGCTTTACATGCATTACCGCATTTCATCCCCAAAACAATTCGGAGGCAGGAATTCTTCGGGTTCATTCAACGTATTTACTGACTGCTAGTTCTGTGTCCCAGGAACTAATCTAAACCTCAGCATACAGCAATGAACAACAACAAAAAAATCCAAAAAATCTTGCCTTCTTGGAAACTGTATCCTATTTCAGTGTCTGTCTTAAGGGGCTTGAGTAATTTCTCTATGGAGTCAAATAAAGTGGGTGGCAGAGATGGAACTCCAATCCAGGTATGTCAGATCACAGGTACACAGTCTGAATCATTCAAACTATGATTCTAGCATATGTAACTGCTGCTCAATAGAGAGAAAAAATAACTTCTACATTTATCTGAGTTTTTCAATAATAAATAGTACTTATTTGAGAATTTTGAATATTTTGTTGTTTTGCTTATACTACTGCCCTCCCTATAGGAAATGACCTGTCAAGAAAAACTAGCACTAATCCTCAGTTAACGTTTCTTTCCATTCACTTTATAAATTTTAAAGCAAAAAATCCTGAGACAAAAGCAATCTGAAAGCCTCTTCATCTGCGCCCTAAAATTATTAACCGAAGAACTATTCATACTTCAGCAAACTTCAATCTTCAGTTAACATGTTTCTTTCCACTTAATAAATTTTAAAACAAAAAAACCTGAGCTAAAAGCAGTCTGAAGACCTCTTCATCTGCTCCCTAAAATTATTAGCTGGCGGGACACGGTGGCTCACACCTGTAATCCCAGCACTTTTGGAGGCCGAGGAGGGCAGATCACGAGGTCAGGAGTTCGAGACCAGCTTGGCCAACATGGGGAAACCCTGTCTCTACTAAAAGTACAAAAATTAGCCAGGCATGGTGGCAGGTGCCTGTAATCCTAGCTACTTAGGAGGCTGAGGCAGGAGAATCGTTTGAACCCGGGAAGCAGAGGTTGCAGTGAGCTGAGATCATGCCATTACACTCCAGCCTGGGCAACACGGTGAGACTCCGTCTCGAAAAAATATTAATCAAAGAACTATTCACACTTCAGCAAACTTCTTAAAATATTAGAGGAAACTCTGCTAGTACTTTATTGAAGATTTTGGCATCAACGTTCCTAAGAAGTATTATCTGTAGTTTCCTTGTAGTATCTTTGTCTAACTTTGGTGTCAGTGTGATGTTGGCCTCATAGAATGAGTTGGAAAGGGTTCTCTTTCTCCAGTTTTTTTTGTTTTTGAAAACTTGAAGAATGGTATTAGTTTTTCCTTAAATGTTTGGTAGAATTCACCAGTGAAGCCATCAGGTCCAGGGTTTTTCTTTTCTGTCAGGAGATTTTTGATTACTCATTCAATCTCCTCACTAGTTACAGGTCTATTCTGATATTCTGTTTCTTCATTATTTAGTCTTAGTAGGTTTTGTGTTTCTAGGAATCTGTCCATTTCATCCAGGTTATCCAATTTGTTGGCATTTGTTTACAGTACTCTTTTAGTTGCATATCCACGTTAATGGCAGCATTATTCACAACAGCTAAAATGTGAAAGTAACCCAAGTATCCATGGATGAATGAATGGATAAGCAAAATGTGGTATATGCATACAATGGAGTATTGTTCAGCCTTAAGGAGGAGGGAAATTCTGAGACATGCCACAACATAAACCTTGAAGACATTATGCTAAGTGAAATAAGCCAGCCACCAAAAAGAAAAATACTAAATGATGCCACTTATATGACGTACTTAGTAGTCAAGATCATAGAGACATCAGTAGAATCATGGTTGCCAAGGATGGGGAAAGGGAAGAAGGGAGAGTTGTTATTTCAGCTTTACAAGATGAGTATATTTTCAGCTTCACCAGATGAAAAGAGTATGGGAGATGGATGGTGGTGATGGTTGCACAACATTATGAATGTATTTAATACCACTGAACTATATACTTAAAAATGGTTAAAATGATAAATTTGGGGTATGTATATTTTACCTTGATTTTAAAAATTGGAAAAAAATATTGTAGAAATGGGGATGGCTGGAGAAGAGCTTTATCGCAAAGACTCATTTTTTCACTTGTACTTTCATTATCTGAATTATTTAATATGCAAACAGATCACTGATAATATGCACATAGACTCATATTATTATTATCTTTCCCTTAACAAGTTAATTCCTGTTAGAATTTTCCACCAGTGTCTGGTGTATCTTGGGTGCTGTTCCCATAAAGAGTGGTTCGTCAACCCCAACTGGACCCTCTCTGCATGTAGGTGAGGCTTGTGAACTAGCAGGCTTTACTGCAGGGTAACTCCTGCTTGTGCAGATACGGAGAGCCTTAAATATCGGGCTCTGTTGATCTCTTTCCTGAAGCCATTCGATTTCTTAGAAAAGAGTCCTTCAGTCTCCTAGGTGAAGTGTATAACTCCAATTGTCAGTGCTCTGCAAACAAGTGGAAAAAGGACATGGACAGAAATTAAAGACAAGGAAGTGTATCTCCTGATCCAGTAGGTCGACTTTCGCTTAATCCCCATCTGTAGTGTACTCCTCTTCTGTACTCTCTTCAAATCTGGAGTTTCACTGATTCAGTTTCTCTGACAATCAACTGACCAGCTTTTGTCAAAATGAGGGAGGGGTACTGAATTACTAAGGTAGGGGTCAGTGCTGCGGATAATGCCACAAATGTGACCACGTGTATAATTTTAAATTTTCTAAGCAGCTTCATGAAAAAAACTAAAGAGAAAGCTGAAAATAATTTCAATACATCTTATTTAACCCAATGAATACAAGATGTTAATATGTAATATAAAAATTATTAAGATATTTTACACCTTTTTTTCCAAATATAGTATTATTTTAAAGTTACAGCACATCTTAATTAGGACTAGCCACATTTCAAGTGCTCATGGCCACATGTAGCCTAGTGGCTGCCATGTTAGACAGCACAGGTCTAAGTGATGCTGTGGTAACAACCCCAACATTTCAATGGCTTAGCACAACAGAAATTTATTTCTGCCTCATGTAATATGTCCAACACGGGTATGCAGGGGCCATTTCCAGTTATTCAAAGAGCCAGGCTGACCACCTTGTTCCTGCATCAAATGAATCCTATGACCAGGGATATCCTAGGCAAGAAAGAGAGCAGAGCATCTTCATGGGCTTTTCACTATGCCAACTCAGAAGTAACACAACCTCCCTCAAAGTCCACTGGCCAGCATCAGTCACCTGATCCCATCTAACATCAAGGAGCAAAGGAATTAAATGTTCCCATCAGCCTGGGACTAAAGAAGACCTAGATGTGGACGAGCACTAAGAAGTCACTGCCACAGGTAGGCACTTGGCCGCGTGGGTGGGTGTGAGGCACAGGATCTCAGTCCTAGATTCCAGGGTATCGCTATTTCATATACAGATTTTTAAACCAGTGTTTGGCCTGAACTCTCATCTCCAGTTACAGATAAAACCAGTGCCTGCAAATCTCCAGCCTTGAGAGAGGTAAAGACTGATTTGCTTCTTCCATGTCCCTCTACAAGCCAAATAACAAACAAGTCTTCATTGGAACGAACAGTGGGCACATTTGAAGATGCAGATGGTGCAAAGGGCCTATAGCGTAAGGGTTGAAGTGGACAAGCCCTGATGAAGCCCTGATGAACTTGAAAATGACCAACCAGACCTCCCTGCTAGGAAACAGCCTCACTCACACAGAAAAAAAACTGCTGAAAATTAAAACAGAATTGAACAGGAAAAGGTTCTCCAGAAACAAAGGAAAGAGGAGGCCCACATAAAAGTGAGGGGCAGTAGTAGAAACAGGAGACCTCAAAGGCAATCTGTGTTTCATAACGGAAAAATAACTCTGTGAAATTAGAAATGCTATCCTGAGTCACTAGGCTTTCTTCCAAACATTCAGGAAAATGAACTTCCAATAAAACTGACCCATGGCAAAGTTTTCAGATCCAAATCTCATAGAAGTTATTATAAGAAAATGGGGAAGGGGCTAGGCATGGTAGCTCACGCCTGTAATCCCAGTACTTTGGGAGGCCGAGGCGGCAGACCACGAGGTCAGGAGTTCAAGACAAGCCTGGCCAATATGGTGAAACCCTGTCTCTACTAAAAATACAAAAATTAGCCGAGCATGGTGGCGCGCACCTATAGTCCCAGCTACTCGGGAGGCTGAGGCAGAAGAATTGCCTGAACTCAGGAGGCAGAGGTTGTAGAGAGCCGAGATAGCACCACTGCGCTCCAGCCCAGGCGACAGAGTAAGACTCCGTCTCAAAAAAACAAACAAACAAAAAAAAACAGTGAAGGAATCGGGAACAAAACAACAAAACAACATCCTCCTTACAGACAAATACATCATGCTAGAAGGCCAGAAACACAAAGGAGATTAAAATTAGAACCTACTATTAGTATTTCAAAATGAGCTAAAAACATTAAGAAAATTATATAAAGCATGAAAAACAACATCAGAACAGAAGAAACTCAGAAATGTGAGAACATGACTCAGTAAGTAATTAGAAATTTAAAAATTTATTTGAGAAATGAAGAATAAAACCCAAGGAACACAAGAATGAATATTACAGATAATGCCTTCGAGAAATTGAAAGTAAGAAGGAAGATAATTCTAAAAACCAAAAACGAAATGATGAAATAATAGGATTCTAAAGAAAGCAACAAAAATTGTTCCTATTTCTTATATAACAGGAATCCCTGGAGAAAGCAAAAGCAGGAGAACAAGCAACACTAAAAACTGTAATCCAAGAAATTTTTGCCAAAATTAAGAAAAAAGAGCTAATGCAGCCCATACTCTCAGCATTGGGGAAGCTGAGGCGAGAGGATCACTTGAGCCCAGGAATTAGAGGCCAGCCTGGATGACATGCCAGGACACCAGAAAAAAATTAGAAACTACATATTTAAGGCACACATTGCATACTGGAAAATACTGGGCCAAAATAATCAATACCAAGATATAGTAAAATTGCAGGATTTTTAAGGAAAAAATAAACTTGAGCATCTAGGCAAAAACATCAAGTAATTTATAAGGGAAAAAAACTACATTAACAACAAACTTTCCAAAGCAACATATTATACCAGAAAATAAAATACTCAAGGAAGGAAAATGAAAGCCAAGAATTTTATGGCCAGTAGAACTTTCGAGTATAAACATTATACATATTATCAACATACAAAAACTCAGGGAATATTGTTCCCATAAGCCCTTCTAGAGATATCTACTAGAAAATGAGTTTGAGAGAACCCATGTAGATAGAGGGATACTGACATAGGAATAGAGGTGAGCGCTAAATAGTTACCTGTCGACTACACAGGGACGAAGAGGAACAGAATACAAGGGCGCATAATGGGTGTGCGTTCTAATGGCAACATGCCCTGGTGATATATGGAAGACAACTGCACAGGGAATGGGGGGAAATGGAGAGCGCATGCAAAGAATGGTTTTAACTGGTTTCAACCCATGGTGGATATATTAGTATTGTTGTTTTGTAACTGTCAGAGACATAATATGTGACAAAATAAACGAGTAATTATCAAATATTCTACCACACCTATGTCCTTGAAAACCAGGATTCCGAGGGTAGTACCTCCCAGCACTATCCACTTAGAATTAGAAACGAAGACTAACTCAGTAGCAATAAGCATTAGAACACCCCAACAGTCCTGGCAGTGGTTTTGAAATACCATTTCCCACTGAAAAAAACCCAAGGCTTCTTGGAGATATTCCAGGTGTGAGGCAGAAATTGTAAAAGATGTTCCCGGAAAGTCTCATTTTATAAGGTAGTGAGGGGACAAATCACAGACTATGAGTCACTTTAGAAGGACTCAGAAGCCTACCAGAAGAGGCTGCCCTTGGCCAAAAACGAACAATTTGAGCTTTAACAGGTGTAAGAATTACAATGGACTGAACCCCAACAAATGAGTTCATAACAATTCAAAAAACAAAAAGGAAAGAAAATCACCTTCAGAGAAGATAGGGAACCAAATTCATTATTTTTAAAATTGTTACAATTCCAACTATATGACATTTCTGGAAACAGCAAAACTATGAAGACAGTAAAAAGATCAGTGCCAGGGGTTGAGAGGAGGGAGCGATAAATAGGCAGAAAGCACAGAGGATTTATAGGGCAGTGAAACTATTCTCTATGATACCATAATGGTGAATAGACATCACTCTGCATTTAATATATAATATAACCCATATAATGTACAACACCAAGAGTGAACCCTAATGAAGCCTAAAGACTTTGCGTAATAAGGACATGTCAACATAGGTTCATCAATTGGAAACAATGTGCCACTCTAGTGGGGGATGTTGAGAGTGGGGCAGGCTATGTACATGTGGATTGGGGGGATATGGGAACTCTTCGTACTTCTTCAATTTTGCTGTGAACCTGAAAATGCTCTAAGAAACAGTCTGTTTTTAAAAACTGCCAGTAAAAGGAGAGAACAAGCATGTATCTTGTCTTTCCTATTCCCTGGAGAACTAAAAGGCATACAGCACTGTAGGAATATGCTGGTAATCCCATTCCTAGGTACTTAGCTGGTGAAATGTAACCTATGTGCAAGCAAGAAATGTATACATGAATGTATAGAGCAGCTCTATTCATCATCGCCAAAAACTGGACACAACACGTAAGTCCTTCTAAAAGTGAACGAATAAAAAACTGGCACATCCATCCAATGGAATGATAATCAACCACAGAAAGGGACAACACTCTTCACACATGCAACAACCTGGATGACCCTCAAAAGGCATAATGCTAAATAACACAGTCTCAAGAGGGTACTTCAAAAAGACAAAACTAGAGTGACAGGAAACAGGTTGCTGGTTTCCAGAGTTGGGGTGAAGTAGGGGTGTGACTGCAAAGGGATAGCAGGAGGTTTTCCGGTGACTGAACTGCTCTGTATAATGACTTGTAGTTTGTTATATCTATAGATGTGTTAAAATTCATAGAACTGTATATCCCCAAAAGCTCTATTTTTAGGGTTTTTTTTTTTCTTTTTTGCCCTGGAGAGCAGTGGCATGCTCAGAGCTTACCACAACCCTCAAATTCCTGGGCTCAAACAATCCTCTCATCTCAGCCTCCCGAACAGCCAGGACTACAGGTTGACACCACCACGCCTGGCTAATTTTTCTAATTTTTTGTACAAATGATGTCTCACTATGTTGACCAGGGTGGTCTTCAATTCCTGGGCTCAAGCGATCCTCCTGTCCCTGCTTTTATTAATTTTTAAAATAAAATTTAAACAAAAGTTTGTCAGCTAACAAATGATAACAGAATTAGACTATCATACATTTGCAAACCCCAATGAAGACCTAATCAGCATTCAGCATCAAAGCTACTAAAATAATATCACAGAGACACAACCACACATTGTGTGTCTCCTAATATAATAGCATACTGACTGCCTGTAAGATAGACAAAAGCCCTTGAACATCAGAATCTGATCACACCTCTTGGTGTAGCTGCCAATTTGCAGGAAATACAGAGACAGAGAGAAGCTGAACTGTACCATGGGAACATAATTAGAAAAATCCAGACCATAGGAAACTCTACAGGTCAAATAGGCAAAATTCTTCAACAGATAAATGAGAGGCAGGAAGGGGAGAATCCATCCATTAAAACAGACTTAGAAGACATATTAAGACACACAAAAATACAAGCAACAAAGGGAAAAACAAATATAAACTGAACATCATAAAAATTAAAAATTGTGCTTCTGGCCGGGAGTGGTGGCTCACGCCTGTAATCCCAGCACTTTGGGAGGCTGAGGCGGGTGGATCACTTGAATTCAGGAGTTTGAGACCAGCCTGAGGAACATGGCAAAACTCTGTCTCTACCAAAAATATAAAAATTAGCAGGGTGTGGTGGTGTGTACCTGTAATCCCAGCTACTCGGGAGGCTGAGGCAGAAGAATCACTTGAACCCGGGAGCCAGATGTTGCCGTGAACCAAGATGGCACTACGGCACTCCAGCCAGGGCAACAGAGCAATACTCTGGCTCAAAAAACAAACAAACAAAAAAACCAAAAACGGGCCGGGTGCTGTGGTGGTTCACCGGCAAGGTGGGTGGATCACCTGAGATCAGGAGTTTAAGACCCGCCCGACCAACATGGCAAAACCCCATCTCTACTAAAAATACACACACACACACACACAAATGTTGTGCTTCAAAGGGCACCATCAAGAAAGTGAAAAGACAACTCAAGGAATGGGAATGGTAGAAAATTTTTGTAAATCATGTAACTGATAAGGACTTGTATCTGGAATATATAAAGAACCATTGAAATTCAACAATAAAAAGAGAAATAACCCAGTTAAAAATGAGCAAAGAATCTCAGACAGTTCTCCAAAGAACATATGCATATGAGCAATAAGCACATGGAAATATGCTGAACGATATCAGTAACAAGGAAACACAAATAAAAAACACGACAAAATACTTCAGACCCACCTGAGTGGCTATAATAAAAAAATAATAACAAATGTTGCCAAGGATGCAGAGAAGCTGGAACTTTTATAACCTGCTGGCAGGGCTGTAAATGGTGCAGCCATTTTGGAAAAGAAAACCAGTTCTTCAAATGGTTAAGCACAGAGTTGATTCTGTAATTCTTTTCCTATATACCGAAGAGAAACAAAAACATATTTCCACACAAAAACCTGTACAAATATGCTCATAGCAGCATTATCTGGAACAACAGCCAAAAGGTGAAAATAACCCAAATGCCTTATCAACCAACGAATGAATACATTACTCTACACAATAAAATAATATTCAGCAGCCAGGCGTGTTGGCTCACGCCTGTAATCCCAGCACTTTGGGAGACTGAGGCGGGTGGATCACCTGAGGTCAGTAGTTCAAGACCAGCCTGGCCAACATGGTGAAACCCTGTCTCTACTAAAAAATAATAATAATACAAAAATTAGTCGGGCGTGGTGGTGGGCGCCTGTAATCTCAGCTACTCGGGAAGCTGAGACACAAGAATCGCTTGAACCCGGGAGGCGGAGGTTGCAGTGAGCCGAGATCATGCTACTGCACTCTAGCCTAAGAGACAGAGTGAGACTCTGTCTCAAAAATAATAATAATAATAATATTCAGCAACTAAAAGAAATGAAGTACTGATACGTGCTATATGGATGAGCCTTGAAAAAATGTGCTAAATGAAATATGCCAGGCACAAATATGCAATTCCACCTATATGAGGCACCTCGAACAGGCAAATTCATATTAGACAGAAAGTACTATAGTGGTTACCAGGGGCAGGAAGGAAGGAATACTACAGAGTTATTGTTTAATGG